>NC_000010.11:79991580-80143095 GCF_000001405.40 Homo sapiens | reverse complement strand
TGGGCTCCAGCCTGGGTGACAGGGCAAGACTCTGTCAAAAAAAAATTTAAATTTTTGATGTAATATATGTATTGGCCGGGCACAGTGGCTCATGCCTGTAATCCCAGCACCTTGGGAGGCCGAGGTGGGCAGATGGCTTGAGCTCAGGAGTTCGAGACCAGCCTGGGCAACATAGCAAAACCTTGCCTCTACAAAATAAATACAGAAATTAGCTAGGCATGGTGGCACATGTGTCTGTAGTCTCAGCTACTTGGGAGACTGAGGTGGGAGGATTGCTTGAGCCTGGGAGGTGGAAGTTGCAGTGAGCCGAGACTGCACCACGGCACTCCAGCCTGGTAGACAGACAGAGACCCTGCCTCAAAAAAAATAAAATGTATTTATTAACTCACTAAATCACATGATTTAACATCAGGCCTAATAACAACTGAAATTTTGACATAAGGAAGGATAAAAATTATATGTTGAGATATTCATAACTAGAAGATGAAATTATCTGGATTTCTATTGATGACAAAGTTATAGTACTGTTAATACCACGGCTCGCTGTTTGTATTTATGATGAATGAGAATGCTCAATTTCAGTTAAAGGCTTGTGACAATAAAGATGTAAACTTTTCCCCACACAAGTTAGGAATCGTGGCTATATAACAAAACAGTGACTGAATTTCCACCTTCCCATCCAGTAATGATGTTGAAATATCCGGGTGGGGGTAAGCAAGGCCTTAGGGGAGGCAGGGTCCACTGGGGGCTGGGCAGCCCGGCAGCCTAGATGGGAGGGTGATGTTGGACGAGGTGGCCACAGGGCAGGATCGGCCCGGATGTCCTCACATTCCAAAGCAAGCTTGCATCTGCCCATAAAAACACCATCCTAGAAGGTGGTCCTGAACTCGCATGTCCTTCCAAACCACCCTGTTACCTCCTCCATGACATCTAGACGGCGTTGCACAGCCATGTGTCTGTCACACGCTGTGCTCTGAGCTGAGTCTCCTCGCGGAGGGCTGAAGGGTTCGGCAGCTGTGGGAAAACAAGTCTTGTCACTGTGGGACCCTTAGTTTTCCATAATGCCAGAGACTCCTGTAAACACTGGGCTCAAATGAGGTCAGTCCTCAAAGCAAACTCAGGAGCAAGCGGAGGACGGCCCAGGTGGGGGTCAGTGTGCGAGTGTCAGCCATCTCAATCCCACCAGTCTCTACAGCCACAGTCACCTACAGACCCAGATGAACTTCCTCAAGGAGGTGAAGCCCAGGGAGGAAGGGAGGATGGGCTTCAGCCAGGCAGAATGGCACCTGCAACAATGGAGAGGTCTGAAAGAGCAGGGCTCACTGTGCAAAACCTGCAGGGAGCCCGCGGTGGCTGGAGATACAGGGTGGGCGGGAGAGAGAGACTGGAGAGGGAAGTCCTGGAAATGAAGCCAAGGGGGCAGAGCTTTAACCCAGGGGCTTTAATAAACCAGTTCTGATGCTTGTTTGTTTTTTTGTGTGTTTGTTTGTTTGTTTTGAGATGGAGTCTCGCTCTGTCGCCCAGGCTGGAGTGCAATGGTGCGATCTCAGCTCACTCCAACCTCCGCCTCCTGGGTTCAAGCGATTCTCCTGCCTCAGCCTCCTGAGTAGCTGGGATTACAAGCACCTGCCACCACGCCCTGCTAATTTTTGTATTTTTAGCAGAGACAGGGTTTCACCATGTTGGTCAGCCTGGTCTCAAACTCCTGACCTCAGGTGATCCACCCGCCTCAGCCTTCCAAAGTGCTGGGATTACAGGTGTAAGCCACCAAGCCAGGCCAAGGGGGGTTATTTTAACAGAAAAGTCACAGAGCCAAACATGAATTTTTTAAATATAGGGAATAGATTGGAGGGAGATGCCTTTGAAGGCAGGAGGTTACTGCAGCAATCAGGATAAGAGGGGTGAAGGAGAAGTGATGAGCAGAGGCAGGAGCTGTAGGAATAGTGAGGAAGAAAATGAAAGGAGATATTTCAGTAGCAGCGTTGACACTGGGAACCCGTTAGTAACAGCTGGCATGTGATGAGTGCTTACCATGCACCATGTAGGGTGCTAACTTAACCTCTCCAACAACCTGTTGTTATGCCCAATCTACACGTAGGAAAACTGATGCACAGAAGGGTGAAAGGATGTGTCCAAAGTCACTACTCATAAGCAGAGGACTCATGAGGCCAAGAAGAGGGCCAATAAATTGGGAGAAATGGGGGCTGAAGAGGCTGGAGGTCTTAGGAATCACAGGAGGAACAAGAGGTAAAGAATATTGCAATTTTAGCCAGGCATGGTGGCTCACACCTGTAATCCCAGCACTTTGGGAGGGCGAGGTAGGCGCACGAGGTCAGGAGATTGAGACCATCCTGGCTAACATGGTGAAACCCCTCTCAACTCTTGATTCACCATTGTTCTCCTTGAGTTAGCTCTTCCAGGCACCATCAACCCTCAGAGCAGAAGTCTCAGAGCCCTGATGCCGAGCTTGG
Source organism: Homo sapiens (assembly GCF_000001405.40). Taxonomy (NCBI): domain Eukaryota; kingdom Metazoa; phylum Chordata; class Mammalia; order Primates; family Hominidae; genus Homo; species Homo sapiens. The sequence goes on along the minus strand of NC_000010.11, from coordinate 80,140,624 downwards.
GTTTCAGAGTTGGTAACCCTGAGATGCCTGTGGGGCATCAGGGTTGGCTGGAACCTTGGAGAACGCTGACACTCAGGAAGGAGGGTGCTGCCCCAGAAGTCAAGAGAAGCCAAGAGCTTTACAGATTCTGCAGAGGATGAAAAGCGTCAGCAGGGCCGAAAGCAGCGGAGAGGTCTAGCAAGATAAGGACTGGAAAGAGAGCACAGAAAGGCCCTGCTAAATTTCACCCCAGCACTTTTAGGAGTGGTGGAAAAGCAGAGTTTGGATTACCATGAGATGAGGAGGGAAGGTGAGGTTGGGGGTGGAAACTTGGATTCTGGAAAATTTCACGAAGCTTGGCTGTGAAGGAAGGGAGATTGGATCGCAAGGTCTAGAGGAGTATTTATGGTTGTCATTTTTTTTTTTAAAGCATTGGAAAACACAATCATGCTTACAGCCTGAGGGACAGGAGGAAGACAGGAGAACCCAAGGATGAACTTCCTGAACTGATGGGAGGCCCTGGATCCAGAGGGGGTGGGACCACATCTCGAAGGAAGACAGAGGGAATGCAGCAAAAATGGGCAAAGGCAAACCATCTAACTAGAGGGCCAAAAAGTGGAGTGAGCTCCCACCTGATGGCCTCTATTTACTCTGTGCAGTAAGATGGAGATCACGTAGGGAGGAGAGCTAGATGTTAAAATTACAAGAATTCTATGAGTAGGTTGCTAAACACAGACATTAAAATAGTGACCATGGTGTCTGGAAATGGTAGCTCGTGCCTGTAATCCTAGCACTTTGGGAGGCCGAGTGGGAGGGTCGCTTGAGGCCAGGAGTTCAAGACCAGCCTGATCAACATAGTGAGACCCCATTTCTAAAAAGAAAAAAAATTTTAAGTTAAAAAAAAAATGGTGGCCATGATGAGAACATTTACACCACGGAAATCAACGACCCCCCTCCCCACTTTTTTTTGAGAGCCAGTCCATCAGTGCACCACTAGGTAAGGGACTTGAATAAAGAGAGGGCTTCAAAAGGGGATGTGCAGAATGAGGGATGCAGTGTAGGAGGGCTATGCAGAATGAGCCGGCATCAACAAGGAATCCTGGAAGCACGAGTCCTCCCCCAGCAGTGCTCCACAGTCTGGGTGCAGGGCAGCAAAGACAGATGGCTGGATGGAGCTGAAACCTAGGAGTCTGCAGGATGGATGTGGTGGAGGCAAGGGGCCAAGGAACTGAGATTTGGCCAGAGGTTTAGGAGAGGAGGCCTGGAATCCAGCTGGGATGAGGAAGGAAATGAGGCCAAGAAGAGGGCCAATGAATTGGGAGAAATGGGGGCTGAAGAGACTGGAGGTCTTAGGAATCACAGGAGGAACAAGAGGTAAAGAATGTTGCAATTTTAGCCAGGCGCGGTGGCTCACGCCTGTAATCCCAGCACTTTGGGAGGCCGAGGCGGGCAGATCATGAGGTCAGGAGATCGAGACCATCCTGGCTAACACGGTGAAACCCCGTCTCTACTAAAAATACAAAAAAATTAGCCGGGCGTGGCGGTGGGCACCTGTAGTCCCAGCTACTAGGGAGGCTGAGGCAGGAGAATGGCGTGAACCCGGGAGGCAGAGCTTGCAGTGAGTGGAGATCGCGCCACTGCACTCCAGCCTGGGTGACAGAGCTAGACTCCGTCTCAAAAAAAAAAAAAAAAAAGGAATATTGCAATTTAACTTTTAGAGGTCGAGCAGCTTCAGAGAGTGACAATATTAAGGCTGTGGCCATGGATGCGGGCATCCAAAGCTCAATAGGGGGAGTTATGGAACTTGATCTCTCTACGTGCAATGCTTGTAGCTGTAAGGCCTTGGTATTGGATGGGTTGGCCAAGGGGCCATCTGCAGTTGTCTAGAAGTGGGGCAGGTCTTGAGGTAGGACAGAGCTGATGATGGATGTGTAACTCTGAGAGGCTGAGTGATTTCCCCAAGGTCACACCATCTGCAAATGCCTGGACCTCAGGCACCCTGACCTCCTGTTCTCATCTCAGCAAGGTGGGGACCCCCTGCCCTGTGATTTTCTGATTCCAACTCTATCTAGCTCTCAGCACTTCCACTCAGAGATGAGAACAGGACCAGAGACAAAATGTCCTTCCACTCTGAGCATCTTTTGTGGAGAACAATCTGTTTTCCAAATTATCCTTTTCATTATTTCCCTCCACTGAACTTAGAAAATACTCTTCAAAAGATAATGGTGTTATTGCTGAATCTGGGGAGGGAGGAGGACATTATAATGGCCCTTTGGTTATTTTTTTAATGCAAGTATTTTAAAGACCTATACTGAAATATTTACAGATGAAAGGCTGTGCTGTCTTGGATTTACTTCCAAAGTAAATAATCCAGGCCTCAGTGGGGATGGTGGAGAGGCATGCGTGGATGTTTAGAGCAAACAGGATGGGCTGAGAGTTGCTGATTGTTGAAGCTGGGTGATGAGCAAATGGGGGTGCATTCAGCGATTCTGTCTACTGTTGTGTGCACGATTTGAAATGTTCCATAACAAAAGCTGGCTGTCTGACGAGGTTGTCAGCAGAAAGCAGCAGCCATTGTGGGCTGCAGGCATTCATGTAAAATATTCAGAGAGAGAGAGGCCCCTGGGGGCTATGCTCCATCCTGGCCCCACATCCTGAGAAGGCCCTTGAGAGGCAGGAGCAGGTCTAGAGGAGGCTATGGGAAGGGACTCCTCTTTTTTTTTTTTTTTTTTAGACAGGGTCTCACTCTGTCACCCAGGCTGAAGTGCAGTGGCACAATCATGGCTCACTGCAACCTCTTCTTCCCGGGTTCAAGCAATTCTCCCACCTCAGCCTCCAGAGTAGCTGGGACTACAGGCACACACTACCATGCCTGGCTACGTTTTGTATTTTTTGTAGAGATAGGATTTCACTACGTTGCCCAGGCTAAGCTCAAACCCCTGGGCTTAAGTGATCCGCCTGTCTCGGCCTCCCAAAGTGCTGGGATTATAGGAGTGAACAACCGCACCCAGTCTGGGACTCCAAATTTTAACTCAATTCTCTCAGCTGAAACTGGGCTGCTCAGCTTGGAGAGGAAAAGCTCTGAGGGGGCCTCTGTTGTCACCCACAGAGTGGCCGTCCTAGGGGAGGGCCTGTTGTCATGAGTCTGTGGATACACATACCCCCCTGCTGGCTCTGTCCAGAGGCCTTTGGCCAAGCCTTTTCTCTGAGGCTCACCTGCCCTCTCCCAGACCCTAGCCACTCTCCCGTGTAAGGCTCAGGCCAGGGGGATGCAGTGTGACCCTGCCAGCCAAATGGGAGTCTGGCTGCTTTGGAAGTCAGAACAACCAGAGCCTGCTCCCCTCCACTGGCCTAAACCACCCTGTTCTCTACGTGTCTGTGATGAGGTCTAACTTGGCTCCAAAACCCCTCCAGGGAAAAGGCTGGGCTGAGGTCGCTCCCAACATGGCTCAGCACTAATCCTTCACATCTGGACAAAACTGTGCTTTGTGCACCCTGGAGCAACTGTCCGTGAGCTCATCGGGGCCTCCACAGAGTGCATCTGAGAGAGCAAGCTTGGAGCAGGGCCTGACATTGTACTGCCAGCATCCTCACCACAGCGCTGACTTGAACGCATCATGGTAGAAAACATGCTGGAGACCCCTTTTCTCAGCCTGGTTCAGCCACTAATGATTGTGGGATTGTGAGAAAGTTTCTTCTGCTCCCTGAGCCTCTGCTGCCTCTTACATAAAATGGGGTAGGGTAGGCCTGAGGCCCTGACTCCCCCGTGTAGCGCATCCTTAATTCTTCTGTCTTTTGGAGGCTGCAGAGAGGCCTCAAGAATTAGCTAGACGAGCTGGGCTCGGTGGTTCACACCTGTAATCCCAGAGCTTTAGGAGGCTGAGGCAAGAGGATCGCTTGAAGCCAGAAGTTTGAGGTCACTCTGGGCAACATAGTGAGACTCTGTCTCTACAAAAATAAATAAATAAATAAATAAATAAATAAATAAAATAAAAATTAAAAAAAAATTAGCCAGGATTGGTGGTATATACTTGTAGTCTCAGGTATTTGGAAAGCTGAGGCGGGAGAATCGCTTGAGCCCAGGAGTTTGAGACTACAGTCAGCTACGATTGCACCACTGCACTGCAGCCAGGGTGACAGTGAAAGACTGTGTCTTGTAAGAAAATAAATAAATGAATAAAAAATAGTAGACACGCACATGCACCACAGGGCTGTCAGTGGCTCAGACAAGGGGAGTGGAAAAGACTGAAGGATTATGATGATTAACCCTGAGCAGCCAAGGCTGTGGCTCCTCAGGGCTCCCTTCCTTCCTTTCCTCCCGCTCTCCCAGGCCCTGCCAGTTGGGAAATGGACCTCCTTGGATGCTGCGTTGTTTTCTCTGGCCCGGCTCCTGCTAGGGGCCTGATGTGCACCCTGGATGGTGGCCATGGGTGGGGCATCCTGTGCTGGTGAGAACACGCTGCTGTGGAGCCCGGAGGCCCCAGAGGAGGGCTCGGCTGGGCTGGCTGCCCCAGTTAAAGAGACGTGGCCCCTGGGTCCCATCCTCTGAGGCGGAAGTACGGGTGCTTCTACTTACAGGCCTTATGGGGAGACCTTTTGTATCTGGACCCAAACAGTAAGAAAGGGCCACAACACAGATGATTTCTGCATGCTGGGGGTTGAGAAATGTTTTCTCAGTGGCATCTGAAAGGTGCCGCTGTATCTTCTGAATTGTCAAAGTCACACTCTGCTTTGAAAAGCAACCCTGGCCACTTGGGGGTTAATTATATTTGACCACATTCAACATAATAGAATAATAAATTTACCACATCCAATATTTGTATTAAAATGTATGATTCACTCAAAACCATCCACGGGTTTTGATCATTTTTGAAAGCAGCAGAAAACTATTCTTCAAGTGATTTTATAAAAAACTCCAAAATATGGGCCGGGCGTGGTGGCTCATGGTCTAAAAAGCCATCAGGGATAAAGGTTTCTCTGAGTGCTGCTAAAAGAAACCAAGACTTGGGCCCAGCGCGGTGGCTCATGCCTGTAATCCCAGCACTTTGGGAGGCCGGGGCAGGCTGATCACTTGATGTCAGGAGTTTGAGACCAGCCTAGCCAACATGGTGAAACTCCCCCGCAGCCCCCGTCTCTACTAAAAAATGCAAAAATTAGCTGGGTGTGGTGGTGCACACCTGTAATCCCAGCTACTTGGGAGACTGAGGCACGAGAATTGCTTGAACCCAGGAGGCAGAGGTTGTGATGAGCTGAGATCGCACCACTGCACTCCAGCCTGGATGACAAAACAAGACTCTGTCTCAAAAAAAAAAAAAAAAAAAAAAGGCCGGGCGCAGTGGCTCACACCTGTAATCCCAGCACTTTGGGAGGCCGAGGCGGGCAAATCACAAGGTCAGGAGATCGAGACCATCCTGGCTAACACAGTGAAACCTCATGTCTACTAAAAATACAAAAAAAATTTAGCCGGGCATGGTTGCAGCCGTCCGTAGTCCCAGCTGCTTGGGAGGCTGAGGCAGGAGAATGGTGTGAACCCGGGAGGCGGAGCTTGCAGTGAGCGGAGATCGCACCACTGCACTCCAGCCTGGGAGACAGAGCGAGACTCCATCTCAAATAAATAAATAAATAAATAAACAAACAAACAAACCAAGGTTGGAAGTTGGACGTGCTAGAGATAGCTCTCAATTTATAGAAAATATAAGGGGTGGAGGTATTTAAATGACATAAAAGGGATGCAATTAGCAAAATCTAAATGTGGAAAACTTTACAGGACAAACTTAGTTTCTTCAACAAAAACAAAAAATTAAGTAAAAAAAGGGGAGAGAAGACTTACATATTTAAAGAGATCTAACAGACATATTGACCAAATGCAGTGTATGTAACCTTATTTGGATCAAACAAATGAATTGCAAAAAGATATGACACAATCAATCAAGGACATTTGAACAGTGATTGAATATTTAATGATATTCAATCACACACAGTTTTTGGAGTATGATCATAGCATTGCAGTTATGTTTATTAAGAGTGCTTATCTCTTAGAGGTACACAAAGAAATATTTATAGATGAAAATACATGATGCCAGGCCAGGCATTGTGGCTCACACCTGTAATCCCAGCACTTTGGGAGGCCAAGGCAGGTGGATCACTTGAGCCCAGGAGTTCGAGACCAGCCTGGCCAACATGGTGAAACCCTATCTCTACTAAAAATACCAAAATTAGTCAGGTGTGGTGGTGCGTGCCTGTAGTCCCAGCTACTCAGGAGGCTGAGGCAGGAGAATCAGTTGAACCCGGGAGACGGAGGTTGCAGTGAGCTGAGATTGTGCCACTGCATTCTAGCATGGGTGACAGAATGAAATCCTGTCTCAAAAAAAAAAAAAAAAGAAAGAAAGAAAGAAAGAAAATATACAATGCCTGGATTTCCTTTAAAATAATCCAGGGAGGGGAGAGAGGGTGGAGGCTATAGATGAGATAAAACTGCCCATGAACTGATACTTCTTGAAGCAGCGTTGATAAGTATATTACATGATTCTTTCACATACTATTACTTTGTATTTTTTTGTATCCAAAAGTTTTCATAATCAAAAGTTAAGATATATCATCTAAAATCTGAAAGATTATGCACAAAAATATATGAAATCAGTGTGAAATTACACTAATACATGAATACTTTCCTCCTTTCCTTCTTCTTTTTTTTTTTTTTTTGAAACTGAGTCTTGCTCTGTCACCCAGGCTGGATTGCGGTGGCTTGATCTCGGCTCACTGCAACCTCCGCCTCCCAGGTTCAAGTGATTCTCCTGCCTCAGCCTGCCGAGTAGCTGGGACTACAGGCATGTGCCACCACGCCCGATTAATTTTTTGTATTTTTAATAGAGACAGCATTTCACCATGTTAGCGAGGCTGGTCTTGATCTCCTGAGCTTGTGATCCGCCCGCCTGAGGGGTAGGTGAGGGGAAGAAAGCGGACAGTGAAAAGCAAGGAACCCAGCTAATGGAGTACCCAGACAGCCTCTCTCCTCCGCACAGCTCTCCACCTCCACCCAGTCCCCCATCTCCACCCAACATAGCTCAGTTTCCCAGAGAAGCTCCCTGGAAACCGGGAGGCTGACTTCTTCACTGACTGCAGATCCACCTGAGGCCACCTGGCAGGTGAATCGGTGGCCTTTCTCCTGGGCCCGACTGCCTGGTTCCTTAAGGCTGTGCTGGGCTAGCCTGGGTCACTCATCCTTTGGAGTGTGGCTTCTTATGCAATGTCCTATAAAGCCAGGCCTGAGCCTCCACAGGCCCTCTGAGATGGAGCTGGCCTCCGGGGCTGCCCCACCCAGCAGCTGTGACCTCCCACTCCAGATCCTGGCTCCTTCTCTCTTGCCAGCTCTACTCCGGGCATCGAGCTTCCCTCTCTCTCCTTTTTGGTCTCTCTCAAATCTTTCTCTTTTCTTCAATATCCTCTCTCCCTCCACCCCTTGCCATTTTAATCACTTTTTCTCTTTCCTTCTTCTCTTTTGTCTCTCAAACTCCTTTTTCTTTCTATCTTAGTTCATATCTGTTCAGGGGAAGCCTCTTTCTGTCTCAGCCTCTCCTTTTTCCTTTTCACTGTGTATTCTTCCCTATCTCCTTTATCTCTCCGTTGCTCTACTTCTCTGCCTTTTTCTGAGTCTGTTTCCTCTCAATCTTTCTCTCCATCCCTCCCTCCCTGCATCTGCCTCTCTGTCCATCTCGCTGCTGTGTCCAGCTCTCTCTCCGTCTCTCTCGCTCATTCCTTCCTCGCCATCTGCGGGTCTCCCCGGCTCCAGGTCCCCTGCCGCGCCCTGCGCCCCACTCACCGGCCAAAGAGCCCGCGGCGCGGAGCAGGGCCAGTCCGGTCAGCGCGCAGAGCAGGGGCCGCATGGTGCCGGCCTGGCCGAGCGCAGCGCCGCGTCTGCCCGCAGCCGCCCTTCCCGGATCGCACCCGGCCGGCCCGAGAGGAAATGCACTCAGTTCGAGCCAAAATTCCTGGGCGGCTCCGGACTTTCTGGCTCGAGAGAACCCGCCCCCTCCAGAGGCCCCTCGGCACCCCGTGGGCAGCGCGGAGCCCAGAGACCCCGGGAGCTGAGGCACCGACGTGCCACCTGGGCGCCTCCCGAGGAAGGGGCCGCCCCCCGAGTCCCCGCACCTCCTGGGAGCCCGGGAGGGAAGGCGGGGCGGGGGGCATTGGGTGAGGTCTTGGGCTCAAGGCGACCGAGCCTGGGGTCAGGGGTTTGTTACGAGCCAGTTTCACAGGCGGGCAGACTAAGACTCGGAGGGAAGTGTCTTCCTCGGCATCACTCTCAGCCATAGCACAGGATCTGAACCCCTGTCTCCTGGGAGTTTGGCAGCTTTTCTCTGTCTACCTACGAACAAGAAATTAATTCTAATTACATGGAACAGTGTCTGCCCCTAAGAGGGAGACCCAGAAACTCACTGCTCTGGTAAGGGAGTGATAGAAATATGAAAAGGTAATTTTAAAAAGAAAAGGTAAAATCGTAACTCTCGCAAAGATATGAAATTAGCATATACTAAAGATTTTATTCAATTCATTATTAATGAGGGGATAAGTAAGATGGTACAAGCAGCCCAAAGTTTAGAGCACAGTAGTGGAAACTTCCCCTATGGGACATGCCCATCCAACAAGTGCAACAACAAATTAAGTTTTAGTAAAAACACAAAGCAAAAAAGCTGTAGCTCTAACTTCTCTGCTGCAGAGCCCTGAGTGAGTGTCTCGTCTGGCTGTAAGTGGAACACATTCATCACCAAGCCTGGGAGAATGCCTTTGTCCATCAAGGGTCCCCGTTGGGATTACCTGGAGCTCTTGCAGATCAAGGCTGCCTCTCTGCCTTCTGTGTTCCTGGCTGTGGCTATGCAATTGTCCAAAACAGTTACCACGCTAACCAGTGATCCAGTTCTCACTCCCTCCTCCAGAGCAAGATAGTAGCCTCAGACGGAGAAATTCTGGTTCTGAGCCCGAGAATCTGAGACAGACTCAGATCTAAATCTTTTAAAAGCCTTCAAGGAGATTATGATGCCCACATGAGCTGGCTCAGAAGAAGAATTTATTTCAGGAATGCCAAAAATTTCTCACGCTTGGTGGTAGGACATTCCTTGATAGTTTCGCCAGGTGGGAAAAAAAGTTGTCAAAGAACTGCCCAACTCATAAGGATTCTTGTAGCTTAGAGCCAGTGGGCTACCTTATATTTTGAATTTAAGACTAAGAAAACACACACACACACAAAAACATATACAATACATTATTGTTGCGGTAGAGCATAAAGTAATTAAGTATACAGAGTAAAACATGAAAGTCTTTTCTGTTACGAATTCCCTCCGTCCAATGATTCAGGTCCAGTCCCCTCAACTTGGTAGGCTCTGCCTGTTCCACGTCTATGCATTCCCCATCTACCTAATGTATATTCAGACACAAATGTATATACATGAGATCAAGTCATAGATATTTTGAAGATTTGCTTTCATTCATGTTTATCTCAGTCATAACATTAAATCTTGGCTGGGTGCAGTGGCTCACGCCTGTAATCCCAGCACTTTGGTAGGCCGAGGTGGGTGGATCACCTGAGGCCAGGAGTTTGAGACCAACCTGGCCAACGTGGTGAAACTCCGTCTCTGCTAAAAATACAAAAAATTAGCAGGGCGTGGTGTTGGGCGCCTGTAGTCCCAGCTACTCAGGAGGCTGAGGCAGGAGAATCAGAACCCAGGAGGCGGAAGTGGCAGTGAGCCAAGATTGCACCACTGCACTCCAGCCTGGGCAACAGAGCAAGACTCCATCTTAAAATAAAAGAAAATAATCTTGGAGATCAGTCTATGTGGGTACAGATAAATCCACTTCATTCCTTTTAAGAGTTAAAATATCCCATGAATGGATACAAGGAGCATTATTTATCCAAACAGTCCCCTATTGACAGACATGTAGATTGCTTCCTTTTTCTCTCCAATATAAAATAAGCTTTAATAAACATTCCTTTGCATATATCTTCATGTACGTAGTACATATTCCTGTATGTACATATTTCTGAAAGGCTGGAAGAGGAATCATTGCGTCAAAGGCCTTTTACATTTTGCCAGATAGGCCAAAAACTGTTCCCCAAATTGTTACTAAGCCCACAGGAGGGGCAAGGGGTCTTCCAGCGCTGTTCCAAGGTGCACCTGAGCATGTTAGTCTAGGTAGGAATTGGGCTGCAGGGGGCGCCATTTACATAAAATACTTCTGCGCTGGGCGCGGCGGCTCACGCCTGTAATCCCAGCACTTTGGGAGGCCGAGGCGGGTGGATCACGAGGTCAGGAGATTGAGACCATCCTGGCTAACATGGTGAAACCCCGTCTCTACTAAAAACACAAAAAATTAGCCGGGCGTGGTGGCGGGCGCCTGTAGTCCCAACTACTCGGGAGGCTGAGGCAGGAGAATGGCATGAACCCGGGAGGCGGAGCTTGCCGTGAGCCGAGATTGCGCCACTGCACTCCTGCAGTGTCACCCACTGCACTGGGTGACAGAGTGAGACTCCGTCTCAAAAACAAAACAGAACAAAAAAACAAAAAAAACCCTTCTGGATTGGAGATACCTGAAGTGTAAACCTATCAGTCACCTACATTCTCCAACACTGGATATTTATTATTTAAAATTTTGACAGCTTGATGATGGAAAATGTTACCTTGTTGTTATTGTTATTTACATGCTACTTGTTATGAGTGAGGTTAAGCTTTATTTGCTTCTTCGATTACTTTTTTCTATTTTCCTCCCTTTCCTTTATATACTCTGATTATTAATGCAATGCCTGTTATATATGTTGGCAATGTCTTCTTCCAGCCTTCCATTATATTTAAGTTTCTTGGTGGTGTCTTTCATCATTCAGAAGTTTTAAATATTAGGTAGCCAAATCTCTCAATATTTTCTTTTCTTTTTTTTTTTTTTTTTTTTTCTTTTTTGAGACGGAGTCCCTCTCTTTCGCCCAGGCCGGACTGCAGTGGCGTTATCTCGGCTCACTGCAACTTCCGCCCTCCTGGGTTCACGCCATTCTCCTGCCTCAGCCTCCCGAGTAGCTGGGACTACAGGCGCCCGCCACCGCGCCCGGCTAATTTTTTGTATTTTTTGTATTTTTTGTAGAGACGGGGTTTCACCGTGTTAGCCAGGATGGTCTTAATCTCCTGACCTCGTGATCCGCCCGCCTCGGCCTCCCAATATTTTCTTTTATGGCTTATAGAGTTTACAACTTGCTTATGATTCCTCGAATCAAGGCTGTAAAGATATTTTTCTATGTTTCCTTCAAACAGTTTTAAGGTTTTCTCAAGGTCTAATGTCTAATCCATCTAGAATTTTTATGTGGTTGCAAGGAAGGAATCAAACTTAAATTTTTCCCTAAATGGGTATCTAAATGTCCTAATGCTCTTTATTGCCTAGTCCATCCTTTTACCACTACTTTGAACATAAAGTAGTTGGCTAGCTACTCATTTCCGAGGGGAGTTCTGGGAAAATCTCTCTACATCATGTCTGTCACAAGGTCAAGGAAACAAAAATGCAAAACAGACATATAATTTCAATAAATACTGAAACCATATTTGATGAAATTAAACAGGCCTCCCTAACTTAAAAACAGTAATAACAACAAACTTAGGATAAAAATAAAGGAAATAATGGGACATTTCCTTAACAAGATAACTACCTTTAATTTTTATATTTATAGTTTTTCAAATTAAAAAAATAATAAAAATAGAGACGAGGGGTCTTGCTGTGTTGCCCAGGCTGGTCTTGAGCACCTGGGCTCAAGTAATCCTCCCGCCTCAGCTTCCCAAAGTGCTGGGATTACAGGAATGAGCCACCATGCCCCGCCAACTACTTTTATCTTAAATAGTTCATCTGTACATAACAGAGAAAGGAGAAATGTATTCTTTATTAAATCAGGAATGAGGTAAAGATGCCATTATTGGCCAGGCATGGTGGCTCATGCCTATAATCCCAGCACTTTGGGAGGCCAAGGTGGGAGGATCACTTGAGCCCAGGAGTTTGAAACCAACCTTGGGAACACAGCATGATCCCATCTCTACTAAAAATTAAAAAAAACACACACACATTAGCGGGGCGTTGTGGCACACACCTATTACTGGGGAGGCTGAAGCAGGAAGATCGCTTAAGCCTAGTAGTTTGAGGCTGCAGTGAGCTATAATCACACCACTGCACCCCAGCCTGGGTGACAGAGTGAGACACTGTTCTAAAAAATAAATAAATAATTTAAAAACTTAAAATTAAATTAAAAATTTAAAAAATAAAAAAAGATGCCACTATCAACAAGTGTTTGGCTGGGTGCAGTGGCTCATGCCTGTTAATCCCAGCACTTTGGGAGGCAGAGGCAGGTGGATCACTTGAGGTCAGGAGTTCGAGACCAGCCTGGCCAACATGGAGAAACCCTGTCTCCACTAAAAATACAAAAATTAGCCAGGCGTGGTAGCACACGCCTATAATCCCAGCTACTAGGGAGGCTCAGGCAGGAGAATTGCTTGAACCCAGGGGGCGGAGGTTTCAGTGAGCCGAGATCGTGCCACTGCACTCCAGCCTGGGCGACAGAGTGAGAATTTGTCTCAAAAAAAAAAAAAAAATTAAGATAAGTGTTTGGAAATCAATTTATTTCTGTATACCAACAGAAACTGGCCCAAACATGTAAAGGGAAACTCCTGGGCAAAATGATAGTATGGAGCCAGTGGACCCAGTTGACAAACCTCCTCCTTCCAATATTCTTGAAAGTGACCAGTGAAATTAAAGATAGGGGAGACCGGCATCAGTGGCAGGAACTAGAGAAATATGCCAACCATATACCAGGCCTCAAAGCAAGGTGGGTAGCCAGCTGGATCTAGTCATACCTCTTATTATTTATTATTATTCTATTATTTGCTAAACTTCTCTGAACCTGGTATTGTGCTAAGGCTGTATATGCATTACCCTATTTAATCCTTGCATCAGTAAACCTATCAAGTAGATATCCTTATCCCCATTTAAAAAAATAAGATCTATTAAGTATATCTGATTCAAGAGTAGAGGGTGGCAGATCCCAGTTTGGAAGCTAGGTGGATCCGATTCCAAAATTCATGGTCCTCTGCATGATCAGGCCTCTTGACTCTGAAGTCCCAGGAAAGGCACTAAATAGAGAATCTGAAGAGTGGAGGTGAGAAAGGGATGAATGGGATATGGGGGGCGCAGAGTGGCAAGCCCTGTGCAGTTAGGGGAGAACGCTCATAACCACCTGCATGAATGAAGTGCCCTAATGTGCAGACGTTTCTCTTTCACTTAATGCTCCCATGACCCTGGCAGATACCGTCACAATCTGCGTGGACTGTGAGGCTACCTGCCAGGGTCATGGGAGCATACAGAATGTAAGGCTTGGAGAAGTTAGGAGGTGGGCCCAGGGCACACAGAGACTAGTTAGGGATTTGCCTCCCAGGCACCTGTACTGCCTCCACAGGCAATGCTACAGGATGTGCTCAGGTCCTCCCAGCCTGGCTGGGCCGGGGCACAAGTGGTGGGAAATCTGGCAGGGGCTTGCTCTCCCAATCCATACCCAAAGGCAAAGGGCCAAAGGAAACAGGAAATAGGGGCTGGTCATCTCTTTGGGGAGAGAGATGGGGTGAGAGGACAGCCCAATTAAAAGAGCGTCAGTGGCTGGGAGGGCCTGAGCTGTACAAAGCCTCCTTGTCTTCTTCCTTTGGCACAAGAGAAGATTTCCAGAGGTACCAGAAAGACCCACGCCGGGAGAGCTCTCAGTGAGCACTGGGCAAACCTAGCCCATTCTGCACAGATGAAGAGGGGCTACTAACCCAAGGCACAGAAGTTATAGCCAGAGAAAGTGAGCCAGTGAAGTGTGAATGTGGATGTCTCTCGGGGGAAGGAAAAGGAGGGGGCGACTTGATGGGTTGAGATTTGTTTTTTTGAAGTTGGAAGTAGTGGCTCACTCCTGTAATCCTAGCACTTTAGGAGGCTGAGGCAGGAGGGTGGCTTGAGTTCAGGAGTTCAAGACCAGCCTGGACAACATAGCCATACCCTGTCTCTACAAAAAAAATTTAAAAATTAGCCGGGTGTGGTGGCACACACTTGTAGTCCCAGCTATTCAGGGGGCTGATGTGGAAGGATGGCAGGAGCTTGGGAAGTCGAGGCGGCAGTAAACTATGATTACATTACTGCATATGCCAGCCTGGGTGACAGAGTGAGACCCATCTCAAAAAAAGAAAAAAATAAGAAGTTTTTTGTTTCTTTTTCTTTTTTTTTTTTTTGTTCCCAAGTTTTATTCAAGAACTCATACAAAATATTCCAGATAAATGAAATTTAATCCTCATCTTCCTCGTCCTGATTAGTTTAGAAATAATGTAATCCATAACTCTCTTTGCTGTTAGCAGCTACGAAAACCAATCACATAGATTATTCTTCTTTGAATATTTTTTGGTGTAATATTTCAAATACCTTTTGGAAAAAGTCACCTCAGATATCATGGCGATCTTTCTCTTGCTCCTTTCGATGGTCACCACCCCTCCGCCAAGTTTCCCAGCTTTTCAGTTCACTTTGATCCTCTCTTGCAGAAACTGCTCAAAATTGGCAGCGTCTATGATTCCATATTCTACGGGGTGGGTGCAATCAAGACTGAACTTCAGAACCTGCTTCTTTTTTTTGCCCCTCTTCACCACAAGCTTTTTCCCGGGAGCCATGGTGGCAGTGGAGGCAGAAAGAGAACTGTTTCTTTTTAAATTGTTATTAATTTTATAAAATTTCAGTAGCTTTGGGGGTACAAGTTATATTTGGTTGCATGAATGAATTGTATAATGGTGAATTCTGAGATTTTAGTGCGTGCACCACCCAAGTAGTGTTCATCGTACCCAACATGTCGTATTTTATTCCACACTCCCCACCCATCCTCCCCGTTCTGAGTTTCCAGAGTCCATTATATCACTCTGTATGTCTCTGTGTCCTCATAGCTTATCTCTCACTTATAAGTGAGAACATATGGTATTTGGTTTTCCATTCCTGAGTTACGTCACTTAAAATAATGGTCTCCAACTCCATCCAAGTTGCTTCAAAAGACATTATTTCTGCTGGGTGCAGTGGCTCACGCCTGTATTCCCAGCACTTTGGGAGGCCGAAGCAGGCGGATCATGAGGTCAGGAGATCGAGACCGTCCTGGCTAACACGGTGAAACCCTGTCTCTACTAAAAAAAAAAAAAAAAAAAAAAAAAAAATTAGCCAGGCATGGTTGCCGGCATCTGTAGTCCCAGCTACTCGGGAGGCTGAGGCAGGAGAATGGCGTGAACCCGGGAGGCAGAGTTTGCAGTGAGCCGAGATCGCGCCACTGCACTCCAGCCTGGGTGACAGAGCGAGACTTCATCTCAAAAAAAAAAAACAAAAAAGACATTATTTCGTTCCTTTTTATGACTGAGTAGTAGTCCATAGTGCATATATACCACATTTTCTTTATCCATTCATTGATCAATGGGCACTTAAGGTGGTTCTGTACCTTGGGAATTATGAATTGTGCTGCAATAGGCATAACCCCTTTATTTTGCCCCCTTTCTTACATGTGGCCCTGAATCCTCCCAGGTAGGAGAAGATGTAGGAAGATAGGAAGATCCGCTTGGTACAGGGAGAAGCAAAGTGTAGAATGAGGGTAGAGGTTTAATATTAACAGTTATGGCCGGGTGTGGTGGCTCACGCCTATAATCCCAGCACTTCAGGAGGTGAGGTGGGCGGATCACCTGAAATCAGGAGTTTGAGACCAGCCTGGCCAACATGGTGAAACCCTGTCTCTACTAAAAAAAAAAGAAAAAAAAAAAGAAAGAAAGAAAGAAAAAAAAAAAAAAAAAATTAGCCAGGGGTGGTGGCACATGCCTGTAATCCCAGCTACTTGGGAGGCTGAGGCACGAGAATTGCTTAAACCCGGGAAGCAGAGGTTGCAGTGAGCTGAGATTGCATCACTGCATTCCAGCCTGTATGACAGAGCAAGACTGTCTCAAAATAATAATAATAATAATAATAATAATAATAATAATGATATTGGCCAGGCACAGTGGCTTATCTTGTAATCCTCGCACTTTGGAAGGCCGAGGTGGGTGGATCACTCTAGGTCAGGAGTTCGAGACCAGCCTGGTCAACATGGTGAAACCCCATCTCTACCAAAAATATTCTTAAAAAATTAGCTGGATGTGGTGGTGTGCACCTGTAATCCCAGCTACAGGAAGACTGAGGCAGGAGAATCGCTTGAACATGGGAGGCAGAGGTTGCAGTGAGCCGAGATCGTGCCACTGCACTCCAGTCTGGGTGCAGAGCCAGACTCTGTCTCAATAATAATAATAATCATAATATTAACAGTTATAATAAATAGTTATATTCCTAACAGCCAACATTCATGATTTCGAATTCATCGTCTAACCCAGTGTGAAGTACTACATAGTCTGGTTTTTTTAATTTGTAAAAATTTTGTTATAGATTTATTTTCTTCTGATTAAAATTTTTTTAATTTTTATGGGTACATAGTAGATATATATTTATGGGGCACATGAGATGTTTTGATGCAGGCATACAATGTGTAATAATTACATCAAGGTAAATGGGGTATCTATCACCTCAAGCATTTATCATTTTCTGTGTTACAAACATTCCAATTGTATGTACTCTTTCAGTTACTTTTAAATGAACATAGAAAAGGTACAGTAGGCTGAGCATGGTGGCTCACACCTGTAATCCCAGCACCTTGGGAGGCTGAGGCGGGTGGATCACGAGGTCAGGAGATCGAGACCATCCTGGCTAACACGGTGAAACCCCGTCTCTACTAAAAAATATACAAAAAATTAGCTGGGCGTGGTGGCATGCACCTGTAGTCCCAGCTACTCGGGAGGCTGAGGCAGGACAATGGCGTGAACCTGGGAGGCAGAGCTTGCAGTGAGCAGAGACTGCGCGCCACTGCGCTCCAGCCTGGGCAACAGAGTGAGACTCTGTCTCCAAAAAAAAAAAAAAAGAAAAAAGAAAGGGTACAGTAAAAATAAAAAAGAAAAGTTATTTAGTGGCTGGGATTACAGGTGTGAGCCACTGTGCCTGGCCAACATGGATAAGTTATTTAGTGGCAATTTCTGAGATTTTGGTGCACCTGTCACCTGAGCAGTGTATACTGTATTCAATGTGTAGTCTTCTATCCCTCACCCCCTCCCACACTCTCTTCCCCCAGTCCCCAAGTCCATTATATCACTCTTATGCATTGCGTCCTCATAGCTTAGTTCCCACTTACAAATGAGAACATATGATTTTTGGTTTTTCATTCCTGGGTTACTTCACTTAGAATAATGGTCTCCACCTCCATCCACGCTGCTGCAAATGCCATTATTTTATTCCTTTTTATGGCTGAGTAGTATTCCATGGCTACATAGTCTATTTTTCAGTTAATCTTGGCTGCTACCCTATGTGATGGGTTCTGTGATTATCCCAGAGCTTAGCAATAGCAGTTTTCTAACCAGTGTCTTTTGAAGTGATAAATCCATGTTTAGAAGAGGAGAAAACTGGCCTAAATGGAGGGTCCAGCAAAAGAACTCAGCCACCCATAGTGCCTGGTATCCACTTACTCGGTTTTGAGATGTTTTTGCAGCAGATTCACATTGCTAAGTGTCAATTCAGTTCATTGTGAAATCCATGACTATTTCCTGAGAATCTGTCAAGCTATGATTCCTGAATTCCCTGTGGGCTCAGCGGGTAGGAGTGGGTTGGCATTTCCCTCAAGCTCTTTGAGAATTTTCTCTGCAATGCTCTCTAGGGAGATGATCTTATTTTGGCTCCTTGAGGTGAGAGTTGAAGTAAAATATAAACTGTCTGAAGACATTGCTTGGCTGACTGTTCAGAGCATTTCTGAGTTAGTATCTCTTAGTAAAGGAGGCAGAGGAATTGAGTTCAAATCGTGACTTTGTCCTTATTGGTGGTGTAGCCTCAGGCAGTTCACCTCCTCTCCCTGAGCCTCATCAACAAAGATGGAGTAATAATAACATCTATGGTCACAACACAATGTAAATTCTCTTGCTCACCTGCCTCTAACCTGCTTTCCTGGGCCTGTCACTATGTTTTCTTTGCTGTATGTACTTGTAGGTTATAAATCTCCTGAGGGCAGAAAGGGTTGTGAGTAATGCCAGCTAGGCCTGCAGTGGTCCTGGAGGAGGATCAAGGTTTCCAGGAGAGATGACTGGTGACCAAGGAGGAGCTGGCAGCTAACTCTGCTTCCTGAAGGAGGTGTAAAGTAAAGGCCTCACAAAGGGGTCTTTGAACATGAGTAGGAGTTTTCTAAGCAGTGCATCCTGCATGCCATGGAGTTTAACAAAGGTGGGTGGGTGACAGGTGAGTGGGCAGTAAATCTGGGGGAAGTTTTGGTCAGATTAGGGAGGGCCTCAAATGCCACTCTCAAAAGAGTAAACTTTCTTGCTGTAGGCAGAGGTGCCAGCAGGGTTTTTGGCTGAAGAATGACACAATCCCATCCAATTCCCTCTTTCTTTTTGTCTTTTTCCTTGGAAATAATTTTGAGCTTACAAAAAGAGTACAGCAAATTATTGTACAACCTTCATCACCCTCCCCAAATATTAACATCTTACATAGCTACAGAATTATCAAAGTCAGGAAACAAACATTAATGCAATACTGTGTGAGAATCCACAAGCCTTATTCAGTATTGCCAGTAGCGCCACTGACGTCCTTTTTCTGCTCCAGAATGCAATCCAGGACTGCAAGTGGCATTCCGCTGCCGTGTCTCAGTAGGATCCTTCCATTCAGGACAGCTCCTCAGTCTTTCTCCTCCTCTCATAATTTTGACAGTTTTGAAGCATCCAGGCTAGTTATTTTTGTTTTTCGTAAACTTGACACTCTTGAAGAGTACTGGCCAATTATTTTGTAGAATGTCCTCCAACTTGAGTTTGTATAATGCTTTCTCAAAATGAGAATGACGTTATGTGTTTTTGGTGAGAACACCACAGGAGTGAGGTTATACCCTTCCCCATGCATTATATCAGGAGGCACATGTAATATTGCAGCATCCCATTACTGGAGATGATAACTTTGAGAGACGATGTGGCAAAGATTTCTCCATTGCAAAATCCTATTTTTCCTTTTGAACTTAATGAGTATCTTATGAGGAGATATCTTGGACACTATGCAAATATCTTGTTTATTATCATACTTTCACCCAGCAATTTTGGCATTCATTGGCGATTCTTGTCTGCAATAATCATTACCGCTGTGTTTTCCAACAGGTGATTTTTCTACTTTCACAATTCCTTCTCTATTTATTAATTGTAATTCATTGGTAAGGAACAGCTGTCCCTTGCCTCCCAATTACTTTTGCAATTATTTCAGTATAGACTCGTGGATATTTAGTTTATTCTGCCAGTGATAATTCATGACCAACATCATTTGTCTCATTGCTCCAGTTGTCCCAGGTACAGCCACTGTGAGAGTCTTCAAGTCACCCCCCTGTGTTTGTTTGAAATGCCCTTATTGTATTTTGAGCACTTTCTTTCTGACATAAGATGTTCCAGGATTATTTTATAATTTCACTGACCCCGCCCTATACTTAATCATTTCTCCAAAAAACTCTGCTTCCTTTTTTGAGGGAATGGTATTTAGAAACTAAGATCTGGGTACTGGATGTCCTCATTGTTACTGGGGTGTCACTGCCTCTAGGCCCTCTCAGCAGACAGAGCTAGGGAATATAGGTTACCAACTCTGAAACTATTTTATCGGTATTCTGGGATTGAGCAATTAAGTAAATATATTGTATTTAGTGGGAGGTAGGCTTCTCACTGTCAAAGAAAGAACTACAAATGAAAAGGGAAGGGCAGAGTGAACCCTGTTGTGTTAAATTAGAATAAGAGGCATTGGCATGAGCTCCTCGTATTTAATATATACACAGATTGACAGACATAGAAATAAATATGACCTGGCAATTCCATTCCTAGGCATAAACCTAGCAGAAATGCATGGTCATAAAAAATATGGATAAAAATGATCAAGATGGGTGTGGTGGCTCACGCCTGTAATCCCAACACTTTGGGAGGCTGAGGCAGGCAGATTGCTTGAGTCCAGCCTGGGCAACATGGCGAAACCCCATCTCCACTAAAAATACAAAATTAGCTGGGTGTGGTGGTGCATGCCTGTAGTCCCAGCTACTCGGGAGGCTGAGGTAGGAGGATGGCTTGAGCCTGGGAGTCAGAGACTGCAGTGAGCCGAGATCGTATCACTGCACTCCAACCTGGGGAACAGAGTGAGACCCTAGATAGAAAGAAAGAAAGAAAGAAAGAAAGAAAGAAAGAAAGAAAGAAAGAAAGAAAGAGAGAAAGAAAGAAAGAGAGAAAGAAAGAGAAAGACAGAAAGAGAGGAAGGAAGGAAGGAAGGAAGAGAAAAGAAAAACAAGAATGATCATAGCTGCACTATTATAATAGTCCTAAGCTGGAAACTACTCAAATTCCCATTGACATCAGACTAAAGAATGAATGACCTACCACTACATGCAACATTATGGATGAAAATACAATTGATGAAAGAAATTTTCTCAAAAAATGCTGTATAATACAATTGATATAAAGTACAAACCAAGCAAAATTAATCCATGCCACAAGAACTCAGTATCAATTTCCTGCAAGAGAAATGGGGGGGCTTCTGAGCTGCTGGTAATGTTCTGTCATTTGGTCTGGGTGCTGATTTCATGGGTGTGTTTAATTCTTAAAATGTATATACATGATCCATCAATAAAAAGTTTCTTAAAATATTCATCTCCTTGCCCTAAGCCTCATTTATATCTTTATGTCAACTCAGCTGCTGCACCGACCCCATAAAATGAATACAATAGGACTAACCTCTAAACCTGCTCCGCTTCTCTTCCCTTCCAGACTAGGATTGATATTTTCCTTCCAGGACTGGGACTCTTGTTTAATTTTCTTTTATTCCCTCTTCTTCTTTTTTTTTTTTGAGACGGAGTCTCACTCTGTTGCCCAGGCTGGAGTGCAATGGCGCAATCTCAGCTCACTGCACCTCTATCTCCTGGGTTCAAGCAATTTTCCTGCCTCAGCCTCCCGAGTAGTTGGGATCACAGGTGTGCGCCACCACACCTGTCTAATTTCTGTATTTTTAGTAAAGACAGGGTTTCACCATGTTGGCCAGGCTGGTCTTGAACTCCTAACCTCAAATGATCCACCCCACTTGGCCTCCCAAAGTGCTGGGATTACAGGCGTGAGCCACCGCGCCCAGCTTCCCCCTTCTTTTCACAAGTTTGATTTCTCTCTCTCTCTCTCCCTCTCTTTTCTGCCTAGGACTCTTGATCCAGTCCCACCTGCTGGTGTAGGGAGGGAAGATAGTATAGCCCCAACCAGCTAGGAGGCTGCATAAGTGTAGGGGAGGAAAGTAACTGCCAGGGGCAAGGTAGGAGATGGTGCCATATTCCAGAGTTGAAGGTTAATACCAGCTAATGGTCTTTCCGTTACTGCCTTCCAGGTATTTGCAACAAGGATTAAGGAGGAGAATAAAACTCTAATGCAATAAGCTTCCATCATTTGTAATGAACTAACTTATATTGTCCTTATTGTTAAAAGATTCATTTATTAAAAAGATAAAATCATCAGCCTGGAGTGGCAGCTCATGCCTATAATAGCAGCATTTTGGGAAACTGAGGTGAGAAGATCGCTTAAGGCTGGGAGTTCAAGACCAGCTTGGGCAATATAGTGCAACCCCCTGCTACATCATCATCATCATCATCATCATCATCATCATCATCGTCATTAGCCAGGCATGGTGGCTCATGTATGTAGTTCTAGCTACTCAGGGGGCTGAGTTTGGAGAATCACTTGAGCCCAGGAGGTCAAGGCTTCAGTGAGCCAAGCTTGCATCCCTTCACTCAAGCCTGGGCGACAGAGCAAGACGCTATCTCAAAAAAAAAAAAAAAAGATAAAATCATGACTCTCCAATGGCAGATTATAACTAATTCAAAGGAGAAGTCAGAAAAGCTCAATTATATGGAGCAAAGGAATGTTGAAACACATTCACCAACAGAGCTCAAGCCAGCTTCTTCCAGGGTGGGAAAGGGAAGTCAATTGAACCTCTACTGGCAGGATTAAATGTACAGATCTAGAGCCAAGAATTAGTTTTCATTTCTATCAGTTATCTACATTTTACAAGCTGTAAAATGGCTCCCATGGAATCAAAAGCAGATAAAGTGAAAGGGTGTGCTATAGACAATACTTAATTTTCCATTGAAAGAAAATTTTCCTACACTTTCCCTCTCTTTTGATAAAAAATAATCTCATCTATTCCTGTGTAATTCACCAATAGTAACATATCAAATACACCTATTTATTTCTGGCACCTCTCTTTTCATAAGGGGAAGTAACAAATCTTTTGTGATTTTCAATGGTATGTCTGGGAAAGCTCAGCTATCATTCCTTTTATTTTATTTTATTTCACATTTAGGACTAATTTTGGGAATGCAAAATACAAAATTGTCAGGAGATTTGAATACTTAGTGTAGGATCATAGGCATCTGAGAAGTAGTACTTGCCTACCCATTTGTAAGAGACAATACAACATTTAAAAATAGGCCAGGTGCAGTGGCTCACTCCTGTAATCCCAGCACTTTGGGAGGCCGAGGCAGATGGATCAGCTGAGGTCAGGAGTTTGAGACCAACATGGTGAAAGTCCACCTCTACTGAAAATACAAAAAATTAGCTGGGCGTGGTGGCAGGCACCTGTAATCCCAGCTACTTGGGAGGCTGAGGCAGGAGAATCACTTGAATCCAGGAGGCTGAGATTGCAGTGAGCAGAGATCACATGACTGCACTCCAGCCTGAGCAACAGGAGTGAAACTCTGTCTCTAAAAAAAAAAGAAAATAAATAAAAATAAATAAAAATAAAGATAGAAAATAACATGATCATAAAGAACTTTAGCTCCCTCCTAAATAACAAATCTTGTTTCTTTAAATAACCAAGGGCATAATAAAATCAACATGAAAATCAAAAAATAATTCTGGTAAAACACTGAATCTTTGCTATCTAGGTAGATTTACATAGAAAAAAAGAATAACCCTTCATAGTATAGGTGAAGACAACAAACAGTAAACTAGGGAAACAAGGCCATGAATATTAAACAAAATTTTTTAAGATTGTTAGTAAATTTCATGTGTTAAAATGCATATGATGTGTTTTATATGCATTATATATTATAAAATATTATACATTATATGATAAACCGTATGGTCTTATAAAAGCAAACTTTTATAAGATTTTTTTTTTTTTTTTTTTTTTTGAGACAGAGTCTCCCTCTGTCGCCCAGGTTGGAGTGCAGTGGCGCGATCTCGGCTTCACTGCAAGCTCTGCCTCCTGGGTTCACGCCATTCTCCTGCCTCAGCCTCCTGAGTAGCTGGGACTACAGGCGTCTGCCACCACGCCCGTCTAATTTATTGTACTTTTTAGTAGAGACGGGGTTTCACCGTGTTAGCCAGGATGGTCTCAATCTCCTGACCTCGTGATCTGCCCGCCTCCGCCTCCTAAAGTGTTGGGATTACAGGCGTGAGTCACCGCGCCCGGCCCTATAAGATCTTAATAACATTTCATAGTGTCTAACATATTTCAGAATCAAGTATTTTATTTATATATATAATGTGTTACGTGTGTGTATATATATATACACACACATTATATATATAAATATAGATTTAATCGAGACAGGGTCTCACTCTGTCGCACAAGCTGGAGTGCACTGGTGCGATCTCTGTTCACTGCAACCTCCGCCTCTTGGGATCAGGTGATCCTCCCACCTAAGCCTCCCGAATAGTTTGGAACTTACAGACACACACCACCACACCTGGCTACTTTTTGTATTTTTTAGTAGGTTTTCCCATGCTGGCTAGGCTGGACTGGGAACTCCTGGGCTCAAATGATTCGCTGGCCTTGGCCTCCCAAAGTGCTGGGATTACAGGTGTGAGCCACTGCGTCCAGCCCCCAAACTCAGGTATTATAAATCAAAGCAAATAAAATTCACTTCAGGCCAGGCGCATGGCTCATGCCTGTAATCCCAGCACTTAGGGAGGTCAAGGTGGGTGGATCACCTGAGATCAGGAGTTCAAGACCAGCCTGGCCAACATGACGAAACCCTTGTCTCTACTAAAAATACAAAAATTAGCCAGGCATGGTGGTGCATGCCTGTATTTCCAGCTACTCAGGGGGCTGAGGAAGGAGAATTGTTTGAACACGAGAGGCAGAGGTTGCAGTAAGCCAAGATAGTGCCACTGTACTCCAGCCGAGGCAAGAGAGCTAGACGCCATCTAAAAAAAAAAAAAATCATGTCAGCATGCTCTTTTGCATTCTATAGTAAACTCGCCCTTTATTTTAGGACCAATCTCAAGGGGCCCATGAGGTCAGAACTAATTTCATAATACTGCTGAGGTATATTTATTGTACTTCATTCATTGTTGCTATTTTTAAATGAATCATTAAATAAGCTTTCTTAAAAGTTATGTTTTATAGCAGCTGGGCATGGTGGCTCACGCCTGTAATCCCAGCACTTTGGGAGGCCAAAGTGAGTGGATTACCTGAGGAGTTCAAGATCAGCCCGGCCAACATGGTGAAACCCCGTCTCTACTAAAAATATAAAAATTAGGTGGATGTGGTGGCAGGTGCCTGTAGTTCCAGCTACTCAGGAGGCTGAGGCACGAGAATCACTTGAACCTGGGATGTCTTGGGTTCACTGAGCCAAGATCATGCCACCGCACTCCAGCCTGGGTGTCAGAGCGAGATTCCATCTCAAAAAAAAAAAAAAAGTATGTTTTATAGGTATGTGCTGAGAGGAATGAAAAAATGTTTTTTAGAAAGTTATGTTTAAATGTTTAACAGTAAATACTAATAGCTATAATCCACAAAGAAAGCTCTTTGGTGTCCTCAATATGTTGGAGGTGTGTAAAGAGGTTTCACCAAACAAACCAACCACAAAAAACTCCCAAACCCCCTGCCCCAAACCAAATCTGGGTACTTTAAGACAAAACTGCTGCTTTAAGATAAAACTACAGTTCTTTGTTTTCCTTAAAATACAGAAGGCCGGGTGCGGTGGCTCACGCCTGTAATCCAACACTTTGGGAGGCTGAGGTGAGCGGATCACCTGAGGTCAGGAGTTCAAGACCAGCCTGGTCAAAATGGTGAAACCCCATCTCTACGAAAAATACAAAAATTAGCCAGGCATGGTGGCGGGCACTTGTAATCCCAGCTATTTGGGAGGCTGGGGGCAGGAGGATCACTTGAACCTGGGAGGTGGAGGTTGCAGTGAGCCGAGATCATGCCATTGTACTCCAGCCTGGGCAACCAAGAGTGAAACTCTGTCTCAAAAAATATATATAAATAAATAAGGCCGGGTGTGGTGGCTCAGGCCTGTAATCCCAACTCTTAGGGAGGCAGAGGCAGGAGGATAGCTTGAGCCCAGGAGTTTGAGACCTGGCTGGGCAATATAGTGAAACCCTGATCTCCACAAAAAGGAAAAAAAAAGACAAAAAAAACCCCGAAAAACCCACAAGTGTAAAAAAAAAGTATATACACTTAAATTATGCTTCATAATGCATGTTTTAGTCTTTCATTTTTCCTAGAAATTATTTATGTACCCAGCAGATATCCATCAATTAAATGAGTACAAGGTTTTGAGTTACCTAAAGATCTTTGAAATTATTCTAAAGTAGACATACCATGAAAGATAACTTTTTTCTTTTGAGATGGAGTTTCGCTGTGTCACCCAGGCTGGAGTGCAGAGGTGCAATCTCCGCTCACTGCAACCCCCGCCTCCCGGGTTCAAGCAATTCTCCTGTTTCAGCCTCCTGAGTAGCTGGGACTACAGGCCCACACCACCACGCCCAGCTAATTTTAGTATTTTTAGTAAAGACAGGGTCTCATCATATCAGTCATGCTGGTCTCAAACTCCTGACCTCAGGTGATCCACCTGCCTCAGCCTCCCACAGTGCTGGGATTACAGGTGTGAGTCACCTCACCCAGCCAAAAGATAATTTTTGAAATAAAATTCATTAGCGTAATAATTCAATTTTGTTAAACGCAGATTGAAATCTACATAAACATTATGTAGATTATCAGTAAATATGTATAAGTTTAGGAAAATCATATACAAGCAGAATAAAAATGTATGCTTGCATTATACAATAATATGGTATACATTTCCACAGTTATTTTATTCATACACTACATAAGAAGATACATATGTGTATGTTAGCATACTTATACACATTTGTCTCTGCTTACATCTTAGAGATCTTTCCTATCAGTATATGAGAGAACTTTCTCATTCTTTTTTTACAGGTGCAGAAAATCCTATTATATGATATGACAATTTTGCAATGAAAAATCTTGTCCATACATTTTTTGCATGAATCAGAATATATCTGTATTCCTGAGTCAAAGGGTCTGTGCATTTGTGATTTTGACTGATAATGCCAAATTGCCTTACAGAACTGACTTTAATATACACTGTCATCCTCAGTGTATAAAATGCCTTTTTCCTCCCACGGCTCCAACAAGCATGTCATAAAACTCTTTTTTTTTTTTGGAGATGGAGTTTCACTCTCGTCACCCAGGCTGGAGTGCAATGGCGAGATCTCGGCTCACTGCCACCTCTGCCTCCCAGGTTCAAGCGATTCTCCTGCCTCAGCCTCCTGAGTAGCTGGGATTACAGGGGCCCACCACCATGCCCAGCTAATTTTTGTATTTTTAGTAGAGACGAGGTTTCACCATGTTAGCCGGGCTAGCCTTAAACTTCTGACCTCAGGTGATCCACCAGGCTCAGCCTCCCAAAGTGATGGGATTACAGGAGTGAACCACCACGACCGGCCCATAAAACTCTTTTTTTTCTTTTTTGAGTCGGAGTTTCACTCTTGTTGCCCAGGCTGGAGTACAATGGCGCGATCTCGGCTCACCGCAACCTCCGCCTTCTGGGTTCAAGTGACTCTCCTGCCTAAGCCTTACAAGTAGCTGAGGTTACAGGCATGCGCCATCCCACCTGGGTAATTTGGTAGTTTTAGTAGAGTTGGGGTGTCTCCATGTTGGTCAGGCTGGTCTCGAACTCCCGACCTCAGATGATCTGCCTGCCTCAGCCTCCCAAAGTACTGGGATTACAGGTGTGAGCCACCGCGCCTGGCCATAAAACTCTTAAACATGTTCCTCAACGTGATGGAAAATTGTTCTCTTAGTTCAGTCGTTTTTGCTTTTTGTTAGTTAGGTTTTGTTGTTGTTGTTGTTGTTGTTTTGAGACGGAGACTCACTGTCACCAAGCTGGAGTGCAGTGGCTGTGATCTCGGCTCACTGCAACCTCCACCTCCCGGGTTGAAGCGATTCTCCTGCCTCAGCCACCCAAGTAGCTGGGACTGCAGGTGCACACCACCACACCCAGCTAATTTTTGTATTTTTAGTAGAGTGGGGGTTTCACCATGTTGGCCAGGATGGTCTCGATCTCTTGACCTCATGATCTGCCTCCCAAAGTGCTGGGATTACAGATGTGAGCCATTGTGCCTGGCAATTTTTTTTTTTAATTAAAAAATAAGGCCAGGCTCAGTGGCTGGCCAGGCACAGTGGCTCATGCCTGTAATCCCAGCACTTTGGGAGGCCGAGGTGGGTGGATCACCTGAGTTCAGGAGTTCGAGACCAGCCTGACCAACATGGAGAAACCTTGTATCTACTAAAAATACAAAATTAGCCCAGTGTAGTGGAGCATGCCTGTAATCCCAGCTACTCAGGAGGCTGAGGCAGGAGAATCGGTTGAACCTGCGAGGTGGAGGTTGTGGTGAGCCGAGATCACACCATTGCACTCCAGCTTGGGCAACAAGAGTGAAACTCCATCTCAAATAAAAAGAAATAAAATAAAAAAAGAAATAAAATGTCCAGAACTGTTTGTATTTCCTTTTCTGTGACCTAGATGTTTATATCCTTTATTTCTTTTTATTCTTTTTGTGTTAGTAGGCTTCATTGTATTAGGGAAGTTCACCTCTGCCCGTGCTATGAGTTGCACATATTTCTCCCAGTTTCATGATTGTTTTCTCAGTTTGCTTACAATAGTTTTAACACAGAACTTTTCATATTTCTATGTAGTAAGATTTTCCAGTATCTCCATTAGTGTCCCTTTATGACTTTTGTGGAGAACAGAGCTTTGGGCCCCAGCTGAGTGGCAAAGGGCACAGTTCCTCAGTGTGGAGTACCCACTGGAGGTGACCTTGATGCCAACGAGGGGTGGGCGGGAGGGATGAAGTTGATGACAATCTCCAACTACACTTGAGGATGAAGTGCGACATGAGAGTGACGGGATGAGAATGGAGTGGCCCAGAAAACCACTCATTTCTCCTTTCAGCAAACATTGTTTGTGAGGTTGCGACAGTCTTTGCCTGTGTTTTACAAATGCGATTGAGAACAGATGAAAGATCTGCCCAAGGTCACACTGGATTCTAAAGCCTGTTCCTAACTGTGTCATCCTCCAGAATGTGAATGTGCATCTTACTCTGAGGTTGATCCCCAAACCAACGTGTGATCTGAGAGTACACATTGCCCATAAAAACCAAAAAAGAGGCCAGGTGCAGTGGCTCATGCATGTAATCCTGACACTTTGACAGGCTGAGGTGAGTGGATCACTTGAGGTCAGGAGTTCGAGAGCAGCCTGGCCAACATGGTGAAACTCTGTCTCTACTAAAAATACAATAATTGGCTGGGCGCAGTGGCTCACGCCTGTACTCCCAGCACTTTGGGAGGCCGAGGTGGGCAGATCACGAGGCAGGAGATCGAGACCATCCTGGCTAACATGGTGAAACCTCGTCTCTACTAAAAATACAGAAAATTAGCCAGGCGTGGTGGCGGACGCCTGTTGTTCCAGCTACTCGGGAGGCTGAGGCAGGAGAATGGCGTGAACCTGGGAGGCGGAGCTTGCAGTGAGCCGAGATTGCGCCACTGCACTCCAGCCTGGGCGACAGAGCGAGCCTCTGTCTCAAAAAAAAAAAAAAAAAAAAAATGCAATTATTAGCCTGGCTTGGTGGCACGCACCTGTAGTCCCAGCTACTCTGGAGCCTGAGGTGGGAGAATTGCTTGAACCCGGGAGGCGGAGGTTGCAGTGAGTCAAGATGGCACCACTGCACTCCAGCCTTGGCAACAGCATGAGACCATCTCCAAAAAAAAAAAAAAAGAGAGAAGCTTAGTGGGGAGTGGAGTGGGGTGTGGGGTTGCTTGTTTCTGACTGAGGTATAAATTCATTTGTAATGCAGTGTTGAAATGATTGCTTCTCCTAAAAGCAGATCTTGAGAAAAAAAAAAAAAGAAGAAGAAAGAAATAATTGTTGAATTCTCAGTGCTGTTTGATCCTGAGTTCCCAGCAGGCCAGATAAGCAGAGGACTGCAGGGAGAATTCTGGCTGGGTGACAGCTGGGGCAAAGGTTAATATGTAATTAGGGGGCTCAATGTTAGTGAGGAAACTTGCCTCAAAGGAGCACAAGTGTGGATTCAGGACCAACAAGAGATAAATATCTTGTGCAGCAGTGAGGTTGGATTAGAATTTTTAGAATATAATAGGCAGAGAGTTTCATTTTGAATAATTGCCGCTGTTGTGAATCTCCAATTTGCTGTAGTTGATACATAGGCCTTGATTAGAAAATATGTATATTCACGCCAGGCATGGTGGCTCATGCCTGTAATCCCAGCACTTTGGGAGCTGAGGTGGGCGGATCACCTGAAGTCAGGAGTTCGAGACCAGCCTGACCAACATGGAGAAACCCTGTCTCTACTAAAAATACAAAATTAGCCAGGCATTGTGGCAGGCACCTGTAATCCCAGCTACTCGGGAGGCTGAGGCAGGAGAATCGCTTGAACTCAGGAGGTGGAGGTTTCAGTGAGCTGAGATCACGCCATTGCACTCCAGCCTGGGCAACAAGAGTGAAACTCTGTCTCAAAGGAAAAAACAAAACAAAACGAAACAAAGAAAATATGTATATTCAGAACAGAAAACCGAGGGACTGCCATATGCAAGCGATTGCAGTCATATGATTTAGATTAAAAAAAAAAAAAACAGAACATCGAGCACTGGCCAGGAAGTGAGGACTCCAGGCAACTGTGCCACTTGTTTGTTCTGTGACCTTGGGTAGGTAGCTTGCCGTTTCTGGGTGTTAGTTTCGCCTTCTGTAAAATAAGGCTGCTGGTGAAGGGCTCAGAGCATTTGTAGCCCCAAGCAGCAGAAGGCAGCTTTCTGCTGCAGGCTGTGGGAAAGCGGCTTTGTTGGCAAGCCTGCTGTCTGCATTCCACACTCAATTCCCTGCCTCAGAGGGAGACAGATAGGAGGCAGGCAGGTCACCTTGCACCCAGATCCCAGGCCAGTGGGAAGACACGCCCACCCCAGAGCCCGGAGTCTGCTGACAGAATTGGGTGGGGATTAGGACTTGGTGGGGGCCACAGCAATCTGATTTCCAATCTCCATCTCTCCCTAGCTGTGAGATCTCTGGTTAGTGCTGCCTCTGATCAGACTATCCTCTGTACAATAGGGATAGTATCTACCCCCCACCCCCCTTGCAATTACTGAAAGGATCAAATAAATGAGACGTGTAAATGCTTAGAACAGGGCTGGGCACATATTACATACTCAATGCTATTTTTTATTATTGACTTAATTATTCAAATCAAATATTAACCTCCTACCTAATGTACGAATTTTGTCTACAGCAGATCAGACAACGGACTATTCTCACTCTGCTTGAATGCTTCCAGAGACAGGGGACTCACTACTTCTCCCAGGGGACTCACTAATTCTCCCAGATAGTGCTTCTGGAATTTTATGGAATTTTAAAACTGAGAGGAATCTTATAAATCAAGTGTAAGTGCCTCACAAGAAAACCCAAGTTTAAGAGGTGAAATGAGGCCAGGCATGGTGGATCATGCCTGTAGTACCAGCACATTAGGAGGTCAAAGCGGGTGGGTCACCTGAGGTCAGGAGTTCGAGACTTGCCTGGGCAACATGGTGAAACCCCATGTCTACTAGAAATACAAAAGTTAGCCGGGCATGGTGGTGCATGCCTGTAATCCCACCTACTTGGAGGCTGAGGCATGAGAATCACTTGGACTTGGGAGGCAGAGGTTGCAGTGAGCTGAGATAGTGCCACGGCACTCCAGCCTGGGTGATAGAGAGGAGAGACTTTGTCTCAAAATAAAAAAGAGGTGAAATAATTTGTTCAAGGTTGCATGGCTAGTGAAGTGCCACATCTTCTGCCTTCTAATCTTGCTCTCTAAGTCCTTACTCTTTTCCATTTGAGAGTCTTGGCACTGCATCCACAAATCCCCACCCATGAAGAACAATTCCTGGCAAGGCTGTTTGTTTGCTGGGCCTGTTTGGATCCCAGACAATATTAAAGGTTTACTGATGGTTGGGCATGGTGGCTCACACATGTAATCCCAGCACTTTGGGAGGAGTTCGAGACCAGCCTGGCCAACATGGTGAAATCCCGTCTGTATTAAAAATACAAAAATTAGCCAGGCATGGTGGTGGATGTTGGGGTGATCAGACCCAACACCAGACCGTGGGGGCTATGAAGTCTGGTGGAGTCAAAGGAATGAGAAAAGACAAGTTGAGAGAGAAAGTGGGACCAGGGGGCCAATGCTAGTATGGAGGCCGTGAAGGCCTCGAGCTCTGAGAGCCCATGCTATTCATTGGTGATCAAACAAAGAAACAGATGGCGAGGATGTGGGGGTTAAAAGGAAGTGGTGTATCAAGGAATGAACTACAGCTGTAATGGTTTAGCATTTTCTTTGAAACATATGGCTACTTGAGATAATGGGAGTGCTAGAAGCAAGGAGCCAGTAAGTCTGGGCGCATTCCAAAGGCCACCAGTGGTTTTACCCTGGATCCTGGACATGTTCCAAGCCCTGCCTCAGCTTCTCTCCCAACACTCAGCTTTTCTCCCAACATGTCCCTCTTTTCTTTTTTGTAAAACCAGCATAGCTATCATTGCTTGTTCTCGATGGCAGCTTTCTCTCCAGTGGCAGCTCCTGCATCTGCAGACTAAAAGGAGACAGCACAAGCACATAATTATTAGAATAAAATCTGCAAGTGTAGAGCTTCCAATGACCTTAGTCCATTTAAGAGGATCAATTGCAGACAACCCATTGGCTGTCTTGTTCAAAGTATCAGTTCCAGGGAGCAGGTTCAAGTGAGCCTGAGAGGCTTCAAAAACCTGCTGTTTTAGCTTTACTGTATCGAGGGTGAGATTTTCATCTCTGCCCTCCAGATGGCATTTAACAGTAACATAACACAGCTTTGAATCCAAAAGGTCCTCTTTGTTTTTAAATTAATTGAGCAAGGCAATTGCAGGCTGTGCAGCCCTTAATTGCCAGTTGGTGATCCAGCTTCATTTTTCTTAGTCCTTATTCAAAATGGAGTTGCTCTGGTTTGAATGCTTCTTACATATTTCCCCTTTCCCTTTCACAAGAGGACCCTTAATTCTAAGGGTTGCAGAAGGATGAAGGCCCGTCTTCTGTAACTTTTTCATGCTGAATAGGGGCAATGATATTCCAGCCTAGCTATTAGGGTCTCTTTTATTCAGGGTAGAGAGGAGTTCAGTCAGAAAGCGTTGGTCCGTTAAGCATCTACTGTACCTCTGAATCCCAGCAAAAGGTAAAACCCTGGCGCTCCAGCAGTTTCTCAGCTTCCTGTGTGGTTTTCTTGATCTCTCCCCATGTTATGGGGGTTGATGTCAGCGTGACTCTGGTCAGTCCTCATTCCATCTTTGCATTCAGATTCAACTGGCTCATGGCTCGTACTGGGGGAACCTGGTCCATGGTTGGGATCCATGGGTCCCTCCAGTCTCCCGTTCCATGGTCATACACATCTTGAGGGCACCCACACAGTTTGTTCATCTCCTGCAAAAACACAAGCATATCCTCATCCCCACGTTAGTAAATCTGCTGAAACAGAAGCAAAGGCCTTTTCTGTTTTTTTTAATTGCTGAAGCATTTGTAACCCAGCTTCTGCCTCTTTGGTTAATTACCATGGGGTAAAACTTACCACTGATAATGAGAAGCAGGCTTTTTCTGATTAACAGAAGGCATAGAGGAAGCCAATCGAGGCTTATCCTTCTTGTGCAACAGTATAGCAAAAAAGCAATCCTTAAAACTTCAATTTGCACTGTACAAGTGGATCCACTAGATGCTGTGGTTCATGATAGATCTTCAGATTTTTGGTGAGCAGCCACACAGGCACCTGATTGTCATCTGGAGAGACATAAGCAAATCCTCTTCCCCATATAATTATATTTCTTTTTTCCCAGCTCTTTATATGTGCATCCCTCCACCATATATCTTGTCTAGCCTTTTTATTTTCCTTTTGTCCTGTCAGGTGTTGTTCAGCTGAATTTTTGGAAATCATTTAAGGTTTTAAAATTATCTCTTTGAATTTGAACCTTTTGAGGCTTTTCCATTACTAGAGAGCATTTCCTTTCCTACATTCCTTTTTTGTGTGTCCAAATTGCCCACAATTAAAGCAAGAGCCTGAGAAATGGGGCATACTCTTTCCTACTTTCAATCCAGACATAGCCTGAGCTAAAAGAGTAGCCTTATGTAAGTTACCTCCAATGCCATTGCCAGCCTTAATATATTCAGCTAAATGAACTTTCCCTCTCAGGGTTCTAATAGCAGTTTGACACTCTGCATTAGCATTATCGTATACAAGAAGCTGTATTGCAACATCCTCAGCTGTTTTATCAGTTATGGCTTTATATACAGCCTCTTGGAGCCAAGCAATAAAATCAATATATGGTTCTTTAGGTCCTTGTTGGACAGAACTGGGAGAAGGATATTTTTCCCCTGTAACATTTATCCTTTCCCATGCCCGTAAGCACACAGAGCGCAGCTGAACAATGGCAACATCCTCCATTACTGCTTGATTCTCTAATCGACCCCAATTAGGGCAAACTCCCATTAACTGTTCAAAGGAAACAGGCACAGGTGGATGCGCTTGTGTGTTTTCCCTTGCCTGAGTTTGAGCTTCATCAGCCCACCAGGTTTTAAACTGTAAATACTGAGACAGAGTGAGAACAGATTTTGTATCCCAATCATATGGTAATAACCTATTATCAAGAGCCACATTTTTCCACAAAGTTTGCACAAAAGGAGAGTTTGGTCCGTATTGACTAATGGCTTGCTTAAATTTCTTTAGTAACTTAAAAGGAAAAGTGGCCCAATTAGCTATATTCTGTCCTCCTTGCTGGGTTATAGTAACTGGAAATTGCCATGTTTCAAGGTCTCCCTCAGCTCTAGCTTTTTGAATAGAATTTTATACAACACCACCAGTTGCTCCAGGTTTTAATGTTGCAACTACAGGAGCAGTAAGTTTTTCAGCTAATTCATTTTCTCTCCCATTAAGGGGAGAGAGAGGAGGTGGCCATTCACTTAATTCAGCAGATGGAGCTGACGGGCTAGTAAAACATGCTTTTCTAAGTTTTCCTTTCTTTTCTTTAATCTCCTCCAGTAGCTGTTCCTCACACTCAGAATCTGAAGTTAGTTTTTTACACTCGTCCTCCTCTTCCTCATCTGAATCTGCCTCATCTTCTGTTTGAAATGGCTCAAGAGCTGCCTTTATTAGTGCCCACATTGACCAAATGGAAACTGGAATTTCTGCTCCATCTTTATACGCCTTTTTAAAATCTCTTCCAATTCTCTCCCACTCATCCAACTCCATAGTCCCTTGTTCCGGAAACCATGGGCAAAACTGCTTTTCTGTGCTAAAGAGTGACAACAAATCCTGAGTACTAACTTTTCATTCCCCCTTTTCATAATAAATGCCTTAAGAAATTCAAAGAAGCAGAATGTTTGCTTTCACTTTGTCCCATTGTTACCCTGGTTCTTCCAAGTGCTCAGCTTTCCCACCGAGCTTCTTTCAGTCATCCTCAGGTGTCCTCTGACGAAGGGTCCTCTGCTTTTACACACTCTATCATTCCTTCACCAGGGTCTTCGTCGCCCCACTGTGAATATATTAATACTGGGGAGCGATTTTGTGCTACAGTCACCTCTGCAATTTACAATAGTTAGGCTGTGAACACATGATACAAATGCAGGCCTTGAAATCTAGGTTTGATTCCTGGTTCCTACCACTCACTAGGTTTTGTTTTTGTTTTTGTTTTTACACTCACTAGCTCTGACTGTAAACAAGGTATTTAATTCATTTGGCCCCAGTTTTCTTTTCTTTTCTTTTTTTTGAGGCAGAGTCTTACTCTGTCACCCAGGCTGGAGTGCAGTGGAGCAATCTTGGCTCACTACAACCTCCACCTCCCAGGTTCAAGCGATTTTCCTGCCTCAGCCTCTCGAGTAGCTGGGGCTGCAGGTGTGCGCCATGATGCCCGGCTAATTTTTGTATTTTTAGTAGAGATGGTCTTGGAGTCCTGACCTCAGATGATCCGCCTGCCTCGGCCTCCCTAAATGTTGGGATTACAGGTGTGAGCCGCCGCATCTGGCCGGCCCCCGTTTTCTAACTGGGAAAAATGGGTTAGCAGCACCTACTTCCTAGGGTTTAAAGTGATAATTAAATGAAAGAATGCAAGCAAGGCTCTAGCATAACACCCAGCACATAGTGAGTTTTTAATTCATGTTGGATCTTCCTGTTATTAACACAGAAGGAATTCTGTGGGACTTCTGCAGATTGAAAGGATATAATGAGATTTCATAAGGCATCCCTTCCTGGTCAAAGTGTGTTTTGCAGCAGGCATGACAGGACGCCAGAACAACACTAGTGACACACTGAAAATTGAAATTTCATAATGTATTTATTTTCAGTTTCCTAGGAAATACTCTGATATGCAGAACGTAAGCCAGCAAGCTCTCTGGCTGTGCAGATGTCAAAGCTTCATAAATGCTGTAACTACGGCCATTCTGTGTACATGTGCAACATATTAGTGCTGCACCTTCAGCCAATGGCAAGAAAACCCCTGGGTCAGCAGAGTGTTTACAATATTTGCACATTGCTATGGATACAGTATCAAAGGCAGACGCCAGTAACATGAACAGGATGTGGGGGTTTAAGGCAGTTAACAATCACAGAAACTACTCTCACTCTTAATACATCATTCTTGGATAATATTTGTAAAATATTTGGGAGGTGAGGCATGCTGTTGAGAACATTACTTTGGATGTTTCACCCGACACCACTGACAGGCAGCTTGGTGAAATATCAAGGTGTCAAGGACCTAGGTCTGTCACCAAATTAGCTAGCTGGGTGTCATTGGTGGTTGCCTTCCTTCATATGACCTAGCTCCCTCCATGGCGGGAGTTGGGGGAGGAGATTTCTGCCATCCCTTCCGGCATTCTGATTACAAGTGGAGCTCAAACATGATTTCATCTCTTATCCTGTGTTGTTTAACACAATTCTGGCTAAGTTGAGCAGCATTTAGAGATTTTTGGAGGCATCCAAGATGAGCTACGCTAAGTGGCCAGCCTGGACTTTGTTTTTCTATTGTAACCCGTCTTGTTCACACACCATGCAGATCCAGTTGGCTCTCACGCTCTCTTGAAGACAGATTTCTCCCCACTCCAAGACAGCAACATGGAATGTGGGCAACTTAGCTCTTGTTGGAAAATTGTCAAGAAGTAAAGGAAAAATAATTTTTTCCAAATAGAAACAATTATACATAGATTCTATTTTTATTCTTATGGTAGTTGCATTGAATTCCTCATTTCATGTTTATTTATTCCAGTTGCTTTCTTACATTTATTAGCATCTATATTGCCCTTAATAATGCAGCCAGTACAGGCCAGGGCGTGGGCGCTCACGCCTATAATCCCAGCAGTTTGGGAGGCCGAGGCGGGCAGATTGCTTGAGGTCAGGAGTTCGAGACAAGCCCGGCCAACGTGGTGAAACCCCATCTCTACTAAAAATACAAAAATTAGCCAGGAGTAGTAATATGTGCCTGTAATCCCAGCTACCCAGGAGGCTGAGGCAGGAGAATTGCTTGAACTCAGGATGCGGAGGCTGCGATGAGCTGAGATTGTGCCACTGCACTCCAGCCTGGGTGATAGAGCAAGACTCTGTCTCAAAAAAAAAAAAAAAAAAAAAAATGCAACTAATTCAGCATTGCTCTCCTGCCCAGTTAATTTATACCCCCCCACTGATCCCACCACACACACACATGCACACATACATGTGCCACTATGGAGGTTATATGGAACAAATATAGTTCTAAACCAGGGTTGTTTTGAAAACATTATTATCTCTCTTTTTATTTTTCTTTGATGACTCTCTCCTCTCTTCTTCCCCTTTGCCTCCTGCAGCATTACCTGGGTTTTTTTTCCTTTCATTTTTTGAGATCTTCTTCCAAAAGTGTTTTTAGTGTGGGTCTGTGTGTGGCAAGTGCTCTGAGCCCTTGAATGCAGGTGATTCTTCCCATCACTCTCTCCCATTTGTATGATAATTTGGCTGAATATAAAATTCTACCTTCAAGACCAGGCGTGGTAACTCACACCTGTAATCCCAGCACTTTGGGAGGCCAAGGCAGGTGGATCACCTGAGGTTGGGAGTTCCAGACCAGCCTGGCCAATATGGTAAAACCCCGTCTCTACTAAAAATACAAAAATTAGCTGGGAATGGTGGCAGGCGCCTATAATCCCACCTATTCAGGAGGCCGAGGAAGGAGAATCACTTGAACCCGGGAGGTGGAGTTTGCAGTAAGCCAGGATTTCGCCACCGCACTCCAGCCTGGGTGACAGAGCGTGACTCTGTCTCAAAAAAATAAAAAATAAAATAAAATAAAATTCTACCCTCAAAATTACTGTCTCCTAATACTTTATAACTACTATGTAGTTACAGTTAACCATTATACTACACTGCCTCCCAGGATCTCATGTAGCTATTTGATGTCTATCTCATTGTCATTCCTTTGGAGGTGATCTGCTCTCTCTTTGGAAGCTTTTAGAACTTTCTCCTTGTCTTTATTACTATTATTATTATTTTGAGAGAGGGTCTCACTCTGTGGCCCAGGCTGGAGTGCAGTGGTGTGTGATCACAGCTCACTGCAGCCTTGACCTCCTGGGCTAAAGTGATCCTCTTGCCTCAGCCTCCCAAGTAGGTAGGACTACAGCCAAGTGCCACCATGACTAGCTAATTTTTTTTTTTTTTTTTTAGATGGAGTCTCACTCTGTCGCCCGGGCTGGAGTGCAGTGGCACGATCTTGGCTTACTGCAACCTCCCCCTCCCAGGATCAAGTGATTCTCCTGCCTCAGCCTCCCGAGTAGCTGGGACCACCGGCGCGTGCCACCATGCCTGGCTAATTTTTTGTATTTTTAGTAGAGATGAAGTTTCACCATTTGGCCAGGATGGTCTCAATCTCCTGACCTCATGATCCACCTGCCTCGGCCTCCCAAAGTGCTGGGATTACAGGCATGAGCCACCGCTCCCAGCCTTATTTTTTTTTGTAGAGATAGATAGTGTCTCAAAATGTTGTTCAGGCTTGTCTTGAATTCCTGGCCTCAAGTGATCCTCCTGCCTTGGCCTCCCAGAGTGTTGGTATTAGAGGCATAAACCACTGTGCCCAGTCTCCTCATTATTTTTACTTATTATATTTTTTTTTTACTTATTATTTTTAAATTTTATAGTTGTACCTAGGAATTGATTTTTCCTGATCTCTTATTGTCTCTTTATAAGTCCTTTCAAATAAGGTCATTTTTTGGAAATGTATCTCCATTATTTGTTCAAGTAGTTCCTCCACTTTATTTTTATTTCTTACTCCAGCTGGAACTATTGCTCAGGTGTTTGCACTTTAATGTTTATCATCCACATTTCCAAGCTTTTCTTTTCTATTTCATGTTTTAGTCTTATTGTGAGACTGCCACAATCGTGTGTTCACATATTATTTCTTCAGCTATATCCATTCTATTTCATTTGTGCTATTTCCATTTATCGAATTCTTCATTTTAACTATTTTATTTTTCCTACCTAATATTTTCA
This sequence comes from Homo sapiens, assembly GCF_000001405.40. Lineage (NCBI taxonomy): Eukaryota > Metazoa > Chordata > Mammalia > Primates > Hominidae > Homo > Homo sapiens. Next base: position 80,101,651 of record NC_000010.11, on the reverse strand, counting down.
CTTAGTTTTTTTTTTTTTTAGGATGTCTTGTTTTTGCTGCATATTACTAACATTTTCTCTTGCCTCGTATTTAAGGAGCATTTTTAGATTTTGGGTCCTTCTGCTTCAACATGTGTGATCAGATGATACGTGTTGCTTGTGGAGACTTGTCCTCCCCAGCTGTCCAGTTATTTGGCTGTGGGCTCGTTTTCCCTTGGGAAAAAGTCTGATCATACGTACTGAGAGGGGCCAAGGACAGTTTCACCTATGTTGGTCCCAGCGATGTAAGGATTGAGAATCCAGCGACCACCAATCCACTAGTCGCTCCTTTGGCTGGAATTTTCACTTTTAAACCCTTAGGAGAAAGTAAGATAATCCACAATCCTGGCGATTTGGTTGGAAGCACCGGTGGAGGAACTACCTGAGGGCTGTCTGCGTCTATTTTTGTGAACTCTCTCCCATGCCCCTGCGGAGTTTGTGTTGCTGATATGGGTGGACACTGCTCCGGGCACTATGTTAACTGTCATGCTGAAGGAGTCAGGCTGATGACTGTCTCTCTCAAGGCAGCTTGAGGGAACAAGAGCAGAATGTAAAGGCTGCCCAACCAGTTCTTCATGATACCCAGGCTACAGCCATTAGCCCTCCCCACCCCCACACCAATGTCAGTAGTCTTCAGTCCCGGAGGCGGGTAGTGAGTTATTCCCTAATTTCCCCACTTAGTGTTAGGAATTCATGTGTCTCTCTCTTGTCCTTCCACTATTTGTTTAGGGTTGATTTTGAGGATCTTGGCAGGGATTCTCTGCCGTATAGTATTTTTTTTTTGAGACTGAGTCTTGCTCTGTCACCCAGGCTGGGGTGCAATGGCGCGATCTCCGCTCACTGCAAGCTCCGCCTCCCGGGTTCAAGCCATTCTCCTGCCTCAGCCTCCCGAGTAGCTGGGACTATAGGCGCCCGCCACCATGCCCGGCTAATTATTTTTGTATTTTTAGTAGAGACAGGGTTTCACCGTGTTAGCCAGGATGGTCTCGATCTCCTGACCTTGTGATCCACCTGCCTCGGCCTCCCAAAGTGCTGGGATTACAGGCGTGAGCCACCGCGCCCTGCCGCCATATAGTATCTTATTTATGTATTTATTTAGAATGAATGAATGAGGTGGGGTGTTACTGTCTTTTTCTTTTCCTCTTTTTTGAGACAGGATCTCACTCTGTGGCCCAGGCTGGAGAGCAGTGGCATGATCACGGCTCACTTAAGCCTCGACCTCCCTGGGCTTAGGTGATCCCCCCACTGCAGCCTCCCAAGCAGCGGGCACCACAGGCATGCGCCGCCACGTCTGGCTAAATTTTGTGGAGACTGGGTCTGGCCATGTTGCCTCAGGCTTTTCTTGAACTCCTGGGCTCAAGCGATCCTCCTGCCTCACCTTCCTGAAGTGCTGAGATTATAGGTGTGAGTCACGGCACCCGGCCAGTATCTTCATCTATAGTATTTTGTAGTACCTTCAACTATGAAGTGGGGATAATGGTTACCTCAAAGCAGTTGTGGATTTTGGATATTTTATATCCGTGTCTAGAACAAAATAAATATTTGAAACGTATTAAGTTCTTTTTACTTTCAAAAGACCCAATCCCTAATTTTTCTTCTCCAGGAGGGAGGAATATGCAGATAGGTGAGTTGGTTAATTCCATCAGCATTTTCAGCCCTGGAACAACGCTCTTTGCCAGATTGTGTTATGACTCCAAATACTGTTTGCATTAACTACTAAGCTCCCAGGAACAGTGCATAGCAGTTTTTCTTATTGACAGTGTTGGTACATACAGAAATCAACCCTAAGACTCAGAAATCAAGGCTGAACCATGTGATTTGTAGTTTTAAATTTTCTCTATTTTGCTACTCAAAGTGGTCTACAGGTCAGCAGCATTAACATCACCAGGGATCCTGCTAGCATGCAGAATCTCCTACTGGCTCCACACTTAATCAGAACTCCCCTTTTCACAAGATCCCGTGTGATCCACCCGTGTGGTCAAGTTTGAGGAGCACAGGCTGCATCGTGGGCAATCCCACACTTTCCAGGAAAACTACTCGTGCTTTACATGTTACAGTTTACAAAGTTTCCCTTCCTCCCTCCCTCCTTTCTTTTCTTCTCTTCCTTCCTTCCTTCCTTCCTTCCTTCCTTCCTTCCTTCCTTCCTTCCTTTCTTTCTTTCTTTCTCTTTCTTTTTCTTTCTTCTATCTTTCCTTTCTTCTCTCTTTTTCTTTCTTTCTCTTCCTCCACCTCTTGGGTTCAAGCGATTCTCCTGCCTTAGCCTCCTGAGTAGCTGGGATTACAAGCGGGCGCTAGCATACCTGGCTACTTTTTGTATTTTTAGTGGAGACGGGGTTTCACCATGTTGGTCAGGTTGGTCTCGAACTCCTGACCTCAAGTGATCCACCTGCCTCAGCCTCCCAAAGTGCCATACAAATTTCAGGACTTTTTTTTTTAATTTCTGAGAAAAAGTATTGTTTGAATTATGATGGGGATGGCATTGAATCTGTAGATTGCTTTGGGTGGTATGGATATTTAAACAATATTAAATCTTTCAATACATGAACATGGCATGTCTTTCCATTTATTTGCGTCTTCAGTTCCTTTCGCCAATGTTTTGTAGTTTTCAGTGTAGAGACCTTTCACTTCCTTGGTTGAATGTACTCCTAGGTATTTAACTTCTTTTTAACTACTGTAAATGGGATTGCTTTCTTTCCTTCTGTTTGTGGATAACTTGTTGTTGGTGTATGAAAATGCTACTGATTTTTGTATTTTGACTTCGTATCTTGCAACTTTATTGAATTTGTCTATAAGTTCTAACAGGTTTTGAGTGGCATTTCAATTCTTTTATTATTATTATACTTTAAGTTCTGGGATACATGTGCAGAATGTGCAGTTTTGTTACATAGGTATACATGTGCCATGGTGGTTTGCTGCACCCATCAACCCGTCACCTACATTAGGTATTTCTCCTAATGTTATCCCTCCCCTAGCCCCCCACCCACCGACAGGCCCTGGTGTTTGATGTTCCCCTCCCTATGTCCATGTGTTCTCATTGTTCAGCTCCCACTTATAAGTAAGAACACGTGGTGTTTGGTTTTCTGTTCTTGTGATAGTTTGCTGAGAATGATGGTTTCCAGCTTCATCCATGTCCTTGCAAAGGATATGAACTCATCCTTTTTTATGGCTGCATAGTATTCCATGGTGTATATGTGCCATATTTTCTTTATCCAGTCTATTATTGATGGACATTTGGTTTGGTTCCAAGTCTTTGCTATTGTGAATAGTGCCACAGTAAACATACATGTGTATGTGTCTTTATAGTAGAATGATTTATAATCCTTTGGGTATATGCCCAGTAATGGGATTGCTGGGTCAAATGGTACTTCTAGTTCTAGATCCTTCAGGAATCGCCACACTGTCTTCCACAATGGTTGAACTAATTTACACTCCCACCAACAGTGTAAAAGTGTTCCTATTTCTGCACATCCTCTCCAGCATCTGTTGTTTCCTCACTTTTTAATGATCGCCATTCTAACCGGCGTGAGATGGTATCTCATTGTGGTTTTGATTTGCATTTCTCTAATGACCAGTGATGATGAGCATTTTTTCATGTCTGTTGGCTGCATAAATGTCTTCTTTTGAGATGTGTCTGTTCATATCCTTTGCCCACTTTTTGATGGAGTTTTTTTTTCTTGCAAATTTGTTTAATTTCTTTGTAGATTCTGGATATTAGCCCTTTGTCCAATGGATAGATTGCAAAAATTTTCTCCCATTCTGTAGGTTGCCTGTTCACTCTGATGATAGTTTCTTTTGCTGTGCAGAAGCTCTTTAGTTTAATTAGATCCCATTTGTCAATTTTGGCTTTTGTTGATAGACCGCTAGCCAGACTAATAAAGAAGAAAACAGAGAAAAATCAAAAAGATGCAATAAAAAATGATATAGGGGATATCACCTCTGATCCCACAGAAATACAAACTACCATCAGAGAGTACTATAAACACCTCTATACAAATAAACTAGAAAATCTAGAAGAAATGGATAAATTCCAGGACACACACACCCTTCCAAGTCTAAACCAGGAAGTCAAATCCCTGAATAAACCAATAGCAAGTTCTGAAATTGAGGCAGTAATTATTAGCCTACCAACCAAAAAAAGTCCAGGACCAGATGGATTTACAGCTGAATTCTACCAGAGGTACAAAGAGGAGCTGGTACCATTCCTTCTGAAACTATTCCAAACAATAGAAAAAGAGGGAATCCTCCCTAACTCATTTTATGAGGACAGCATCATCCTGATACCAAAACCTGGCAGAGACACAACACAAAAAGAAAATTTCAGGCCAATTTCCTGGTGAACATCAATGTGAAAATCCTCAGTAAAATACTGGCAAACTGAATCCAGCAGCACATCAAAAAGCTTATCCACTATGATCAAGTAGGCTTCATACCTGGGATGCAAGGCTGGTTCAACATACACAATCAATAAACGTAATCCATCACATAAACAGAAGCAATGACAAAAACCACGATTATCTCAATAGATGCAGAAAAGGCCTTTGACAAAATTCAACACCGCTTCATGCTAAAAACTCCCAATAAACTAGGTGTCAATGGAACATATCTCAAAATAATAAGAGTTATTTATGACAAACCCACAGCCAATATCATACTGAATGGGAAAAAACTGGAAGCATTCCCTTTGAAAACCAGCACAAGACAAGGATGCCCTCTCTCACCACTCCTATTCAACACAATATTGGAAGTTCTGGCCAGGGCAATCAGGCAAGAGAAAGAAATAAAGGTATTCAAATAGGAAGAGAGAAAGTCAAATTGTCTGTTTGCAGATGACATGATTGTATAATTTAGAAAAATCTGTCGTCTCAGCCCAAAATCTCCTTAAGCTGATAAGCAACTTCAACAAAGTCTCAGGATACAAAATCAATGTGCAAAAATCACAAGCATTCCTATACACCAATAACAGACAAACAGAGAGCCAAATCATGAGTGAACTCCCATTCACGATTGCTACAAAGAGAATAAAATACCTAGGAATACACCTTACAAGGGATGTGAAGGACTTCTTCACGGAGAATTACAAACCACTGCTCAAGGAAATAAGAGAGGACACAAACAAATGGAAAAAAAATTCCATGCTCATGGATAGGAAGAATCAATATCACGAAAATGGCCATATTTCCCAAAGTAATTTATACATTCAATGCTGTCCCCATCAAGCTACCACGGACTTTCTTCACAGAATTGGAAAAAACTACTTTAAACTTCATATGGAACCAAAAAAGACCCGCATAGCCAAGTGAATCCTGGGCAAGAATAGCAAAGCTGGAGGCATCATGCTACCTGACTTCAAACTCTACTACAAGGCTACAGTAACCAAAACAGCATAGTACTGGTACCAAAACAGACATATAGACCAATGGAACAGAACAGAGGCCCAAGAAATAACACCACACATCTACAACCATCTGATCTTTGACAAACCTGACACAAACAAGCAATGGGGAAAAGAGTCCCTGTTTAATAAATGTTGTTGGAAAACTGGCTAGCCATATGCAGAAAACTGAAACTGGACCCCTTCCTTACACCTTATACAAAAATCAACTCAAGATGGATCAAAGACTTAAACGTAAGACCTAGGACCATAAAAATCCTAGAAGAAAACCTGGGCAATACCATTCAGGACATAGGCATGGGCAAAGGCTTCATGTCTAAAACATCAATTCTTTTAATGATGAAACTGAGGTACAGAAACAAACTTGTCTAAAATCCTGTGGCTAGAGCCAGGTTAAATCCCATGCTTCAGCCTCAACTAGTAGGGTAATACTTTCTGATTTTTAAGTGTGTCAAATGTATCCCTAGTATGCATGGTATTTTAGGTAATAATTATCCTTTCTTCTCGTACGTATTAGAAAAAATATAATGAACAAACCAAGCCTGGGACTTCATAGTTATTCTTGTTTAGGAATTTTTTTTTTTAAGTGAATTTCTGGCCAGGTGCAGTGGCTCATGCCTGTAAACCCAACACTTTGGGAGGCTGAGGCCGGCAGATCATTTGAGGTCAGGAGTTTGAGACCAGCCTGGCCAACATGGTGAAAACCCATCTCTACTAAAAATACAAAAATTAGCCGGGTATGGTGATGGGCACCTGTAATCCCAGTTACTTGGGAGGCTGAGGCAGGAGAATCGCTTGAACCTGGGAGGTGGAGATTGCAGTGAGCCGAGATCACGCCACTCAACTCCAGCCTGGACAATACAGCAAGACTCAGTCTAAAGAAAAAAAAGTGAATTGCTTTAAATAATAAATAATAAATTCAGATGGAGTGTAGACATGATTAAAGTTGTGGAGGTGGCCTCTATGTGCTTGAGATTTAGGGAACTGTTCCCTACCTTATATTATAGATGCTATTCCTCTTATTTATAACAATGTTAAGATTTCATCAATTTTAGTAGCGATTCATCCTGTGCAATGTATTAATACAAGGAAAAGGTAAGTAAAAGTTATTTCATGAATATTTTCCTCAACAGCATTTGTCTTTCTTACTTTTAAAAATTACTTTTCCATTTCCCACACCAATGTAACTGAACAGTATTCATTGTATACCAAAAGTATTTCCCTTAATCCAACATTATGACTTACTACAAATAGAAATGAGGCATTTTTATAATCCTTTATAAAAACTTGGAAGCCATCTTAAAATGTTTCACAGAAATTGCAAATACAGTATTTTGAATAGGGTTTTCAAATGTTTACTGGGGATTCGGAGCACAAATCTCCTTTTGAAGAAGAGAAATGTGAACATTAAAGACTCTTATTGTCCAGTGTGGATGAAAACAGAAACATAATTCACAATTTGTTGCGGACAAGGAGCCTGGCAGAGAGAACGTTTCCATGGTCTTACAAGGGTATTACCCACCTACCCTACTAGCATTTTTTTTCACTGTGCTGACAAGAAAGGAAAAATACTCACAACCAGGTTGCTAAACTAAGAGCTTTAATTAATGAGACTCCAGAAAGGGCCCTAGCAAGATAAAAATTTGATTGCACTGTGTTCTCTGACCTCAACTGCAGGTTCTCTGACTTCTCTTTTGTGTTTGTTTGTAGACCTTCAGTGTAAAGATATAAGGGCTCTCTGAGATGGCAAGCTGTTTTGCAAAGAAGCCTCTTCACACATCTGGAATATAACCTCTTAAACCTAACCCAGGTTTATGTTAACACCATGGCTCATAAACCATGCTTAGACTGCATGGAACCATAAACATGTTGAATGTAGGAAACACGGTTAGTTTATAAATTGGGCCTGCTATTAAGTTCTGAGGTCATTAGTTTTTTTTTTTTTTTTTTTGGTCCTTTCTTTTTATTTTTCCAAACTATACGTGCTTTGGAAATCTAAGGGGTGGGTAAGAAAACAGTTTAGTCTGTTTTTTTTCCATGGTTGCTTCCACCAAGATGCCTCTGGCCTTTTCTCATCCAAATGCAACATAAAGCTCTTTCTCGCATATCACCACCATGACTACCACACAAAGCCAAGATGTCTCCATTTTTAAATTTTTTGCTTCACAGACTTACTACTAAACTCAGGGGTGATGGGGGAGGTGGCAACATGAGGCCCAGAATCATGCATCTCTGTGTGATATTGGGTAAGTTACTTCACCTCGCTGAGATGTTTATGGGTCTATGAAAGGAATGATCTGCATCATTTGCTCACTAGATCCCCCTTTACATCTAAGCCATGATAATACTCCAAATAAGATGATAGGATTTTATACAGGCGTGCCTGTGTATTGACCTTTTTGAGTTGGAGTCTTGCACTGTTGCCCAGGCTGGAGTGCAGTGGCATGATCTTGGCTCACTGCAAGCTCCGCTTCCCGGGTTCATGCCATTCTCCTGCCTCAGCCTCCCGAGTAGCTGGGACTACAGGCGCCTGCCACCATGCCCGGCTAATTTTTTGTATTTTTAGTAGAGACGGGGTTTCACCATGTTAGCCAGGATAGTCTCGATCTCCTGACCTCATGATCTGCCCGCCTCGGCCTCCCAAAGTGCTGGGATTACAGGTGTGAGCCACCACACCCGGCTGCATATTGACGTTTTGATCAATCACAGACAGCACATATGACACTGGTTCCATAGGATTGGAACACATTTTTACAGTATCTTTTCTATGTTTAGCTATTTTTTTTGTTTTGCTTGAGACGGAGTCTCACTCTGTTGCCCAGGCTGGAGTGAAATGCTACAATCGCAGCTCACTACAACCTCTGCCTCCTGGGTTCAAGCAATTCTCCTGCCTCCTGCCTCAGCCTCCTGAGTAGCTAGGATTACAGACACCTGCCACCATGACTGGCTAATTTTTGTATTTTTAGTAGAGACGGGGTTTCACCATGTTGGCCAGGCTGGTCTTGAACTCCTTACCTCAGGTGATCTGCCTGCCTCAGCCTCCCAAAATATATATATATATATATATATATATATATATATATATATATTTTTAATCCCATCCTAAAGAAAAGCTAGTACACAAATGCTTACCACTGTGTTACAGTTACCTTCAGTATTCAGTACTACTCTACATGCTGTACAGGTTTGTAGCCTAGGGGCAACAGACTGTATCATATAAACTAGGTGTGTAGTCGGCTCTACCATTTGGTTTGTGAGTACACCCTATGATATCTGCACAACAATGCACTCACCTAATAGTGCATTTCTCAGAAGGCATCCCCATTGTTAAGTGATGCATACCGGACTTCATGCATTTAAAAAAATGCCAGAACACTCCTTACTTAGTGCATAGACTTTATCAAATGTTGAATAAAAACAGAAACAAAAAGGAGACAATCCTACAATGAAAAGGAGACACTCAGGTCCACCCTAGTGATTCCTTGTATGTGGAGGAGGTAAGTGGGACATGGACAGTTCTAAAATATAGTACGTATATACCCGACAACCACAGTGTTTTGCATTTCTTTATCAGTGAAAAACAAACTGATATCTGAAGTGTATAAACAGTTCCCTAGTAGTCTATTTGAGAAAAAGTATCAAATGTGCATCAATATGTTAAAACTGACAAATACAAGAAAAGCATTCAGCTAGAGAAAATTCACAGCATTTTATTCAAGTTAATCAATTTCATTCAATAATCTGCCATATTGTTCCCAGCACCACTATTACTGTTATTATTTCTCTTTGAGGAAGACCAGGTATTAAGAAATCTGGTTTGAATTTCCATGATGCCTAACTCTATGGTTAAAAATCCTTTTCCTTACCAAAAAGGAACTTCTTAATCACCAGAGAAACAGAGGGAAGACTGAGATATGTTTGCAGAAATTTATCTCTACCAGAGACAATTCATAGTTCATAATCTTTCAGGGTTGTGCTTTACTTGGGGGCTCCGTTTTCGGGAGCGGGTTGTTTCCCATAAATGTTTGCTTAATACAAATAATTTGCCCCACTGTACCACAGAAGGGAAATGAGGGCTAGTGTCCCCAGAAAGCAAGCAGGCAGTCCTCCAGGGAAGAAGCCCTAATGGCTCCTAGTGGTGACAGAGTCATTCTGCCTCCCCAGCCTGTGAGCAATAATAAAGTATAACTAAGTGAACAGGAGAGGTAATAACTAGCCAGATAACCCATGGGCTAGAATCTCTAAACAGAAATGCTTGTGTTTTGAATAAATCAGAGCTGGAAAGACACACTTTTGGAGAAGTGATTGAGAATAGAAAGGTATGAAAAAGATAAAGGTTTCTCACCAACGAAACCACAAAAAAGGTGGTACCAGTCAAAGGTAGACTTGGGCTTTTATTTTGGGGTGAGGGTACCCCAAATGGGTTGTGCCATTTTCACATAAAAATTGGAATGATAATGAACAAGTGAAAGTGAAATCAGTTTCCCTCCTTTGTTCAATAAACATGGTTAGAGCACCTGTGTGCAAGATAGTGGGACAGGTGCTGAGGGGAAAGGTAAAGCTGTTTAAGCTGTGGCCCTGAGCTGAAGGAGCAATCTAGCAGTGCCATCAGGCCCTGCACACTGCAGAGCACAGTGTCCCAGGGGCCAGGTGGAGGGAAGGATCACTTCCGGCTGCAGCATCAGGGAAGGCACTCTGCAGTCTCCCCTCCAGGTTCTCAGCGTGCCTCTATGCCTGTGTGACTGCTCAGCCTGCCCCATTCCAGGCACTTGCTCATCTTCCTTATCTTTCTCTGTAGCATGAGAAATGGAAGTTTGAGAGGATAGGATCCTACCTCACAGGTACCTAATAAATGTGTGTGGAATTGACATATAGTGGAAGTGTCACTTTATCTTAGTGCAGCAAGGTGGAAAGAGCTTTGGAAAGGAGAGGAAAGATGGTGGTTGTGAGGGTAAGGTGTTTTCATCAGAAGGCGGGAGCAAGGGTATACAAACCAAAAAGTCAGTTTAGTATGTGGCTTAGCTCAGAGCACACGAGGGTACCAACACAGCCAAAGACTGTAAGAAGGTAGCTGAAGTCCTCTGCCAAATAGGATTGAAAAGCTAAAATCTTTCTCTGTTTCTTTCTTAAGTAACAACTGGTCTATTCAAGCTCAACCAGAGCATATAAGAGAAAAAACTGACTAACGAGGGGGTCTTAAAGAGCTTTGAAGGACAGTTTCTAGAAAGTAGAAAGATCACTGAGTAAATTACTGCACCTCCTCTACCCCACAAAAAAAAGGGTGAGGATGAATGTAAAAGTGTAGAGCAAGCTTTCAGACAACTTCAAGTTTGTTTTTGGCGCTTCCGTTTGTAAGCAATCAAGATGGTGAGAGACGCTATCCCAAAGAAGAAAGTCTGTAGGAACCAGAGTAGCTGAGCCCGACCACTTGTGATGCCTTTATGCCTAAAACAGAAAAAACAAAATTTAAACACGAGATGTTAATCTTACAGTTTCATGGGAGTTATTGTCTTCTATATATATATTTTTTAAATTATACCTTCCACTACTTTCATTGGGTTTATTTTGCTGCTTTTCTCTGGCTTATCTTGGATGGTTCATTTATTTTTCATCTTTCTTGTTTTCTAACAAATGTATTTTGGATGGTAAACTATTCCCTGAGAACTAGTCTGGCTACTGTCTAGGGCACAGTATTATAAGACTGTTTCTCATGTGATTCTGATGAGCGGATGGAGTAAAAAGCACTGGTATGGTTTCAGAGCAAATGTTTTGCAAATAGACCAGATATAAATCCTAGCGTGGCTACCTACCAGCTGTGACCTGGGCAAATCACTCAGAATCTCTCAGAATCAGTTTTCTCATCTGAAAAACAGGAACAGCAGTAGCTATCTCACTGAGTCAGTTGAGATGATTTATGGGATAATACACACAACATGCTCAGGAAGGAGCCTGGCACACAGTCATGATAAACACCTGCTTATATTGTCATTCAAATTCAACTGCCTAAAATGAAGTGCAAAAAAAAGATGACCCAATGGAAGGGAATGGCTTGCTACAGTCTCATCTGTACATAAATAAGTCTCACTTGGATGACTTTTATTTAAAACAAACTTTAAAAACAATATATGTAAAAGCAATATAATTTTCTACAGTAACAGATTAAAACAGAAAGATCATATGAATATCTTAATAAATGCAGAAGTGGCATTTGACAAATTTCTTTTTTTTTTTTTTTTTGAGATGGAGTCTCGCTCTGTCACCCAGGCTGGAGTGCAGTGGCGCGATCTTGACTCACTGCAAGCTCTGCCTCCCGGGTTGATGCCATTCTCCTGCCTCAGCCTCCCGAGTAGCTGGGATTACAGGAGCCCGCCACCACGCCTGGCTAATTTTTTGTATTTCTTTAGTAGAGATGGGGTTTCACTGTGTTAGCCAGGATGGTCTCGATCTCTTGACCTCGTGATCCACCCACCTCGGCCTCCCAAAGTGCTGGTATTACAGGCGTGAGCCACCACGCCCGGCTGCATTTGACAAATTTCAACATCCATTCTTTTTCCAACCCCCCCAGAGATGGGGTCTCACTCTGTCACCTACAGTGGAGTGTACTGGTACAATTATAGCTCACTGCAGCCTCAAACTCCTGGGCTAAAGCTATCCTCCCACCTTAGCTTCCCAAGTAGCTGGGATCATCACAGGCACGCACCACCATGCCTGGCTAGGTTTTTTGTTTGTTTTTTGTAGAGACAGTGTCTTGCTTTGTTGCCCAGGCTGGTCTTGAACTCCTGGCTTCAACTGATTCTCCCACCTCAGCCTCCCGAAGTGCTGGGATTACAGGTGTGAGCCACCTGCATCCACATCCAACATCCATTTTTAATAAAACTTCTCAGCAAAGTTAGAAATACAATGGAACTTCCTAATTTTGACACAGGAGATCTACAAAACTCTATAATAAACATGATGCAAAATGTTGAAAGTTCTCCTTTGAGGTCAAGAACAAGGCACACTTCTAGTCAGCACTGCTGGAAGTTCTAGCTAGTAGAATAAGGGAAGAAACATAAATAAAAGGTATACAGAATTGAAAGAAAGAAATAAAACTGTATTTCTGGACAGTTTTATACCTAAAAACTGAAAATAATCTATAAACTGTTACAATTAATAAATTTATTTAGCAAGATTGCTGGGTATAAGGTCAATATAAAAAATTGACTATATTCATACAAAGTACCATCAGACAATTAGAAAATGAAATGAAACAAAGGGAGCCAAGATCATGCCACTGAACTCCAGTCTGGGCGACAGAGCTAGACTCCATCTCAAAAAACAAAAACAAAAACAACAACAAAAGTTGGCCAGGTGTGGTGGCTCAGGCCTGTAATTCCAGCACTTTGGGAGACCGACGCAGGTGGATCGCTTGAGCCCAGGAGTTTGACATCAGCCTTGGCAACATAATGATACCCTATCTTTTTTTTTTTTTTTTGAGACGGAGTCTTGCTCTGTCGCCCAGGCTGGAGTGCAGTGGCATGATCTCAGCTAACTGCAAGCTCCGGGGCCTCCCGGGTTCATGCCATTCTCCTGCCTCAGCCTCCTGGAGACCCTCCATCTTTTTTTAAAAAAAAGTCATTTATAATAACATCTCAAAGTAGAAGTTGCTGGAAATTAATGTAACAACAATGTGTAAAACCTCTTAAAAATTATATATATATTAAAGGAGATCTAAATAAATGGAAACAGATCATTTCATCATTTAGAAGACTCAATAATAGAAATATTTGATGCTTTCCTGACCTTAAGGAAAAAAAAAAGAAAAAAAACATAATGGAAATATGCCAATATTCTCCAAATTATTTCACATGGTCAATCCAATGAAAATCTCAACATCTTTATTTTTTGTTTTTGTGGCACAAGACAATGCACAGAATATGCAAAGGTGTAGGCAAAGGCAATCCTATTGAACAAGATGAGAGGAGATGCTTTGTCAGATAACAATGATTATAAAGCTGCTGCTATTAAGACAGTGTTGTGTTAGCCCAAGGATAAACAGGCCAATGGAACAGAATAGAGTGTTCAGAAATAGATCCACACATATCAGTATGTATGATATAAGATAGGGCACATCAGTGAAGACTGAATGTCTCAATAAGTAGCTCTGGGATAACGGCATCCAGATGGAAAAGGTAAAGATCTTAAAAAAAAATAAGATCTAAGTAGACTGAAAACTTAAATGTGAAAGAAAAAAATTCTAAAACTGTTAGAAGATACTGTAAAAGAATATAACTTTAATATCAATAAATTAATAAAACTGACTACATTGATAAACTTCTGTTTATCAAAAGGCCCAACAGAATAAAAAGACCGTGAGAAAGGATATTTGCAAGACACCTAAAGGACAAAGTACTCAAGATCATAAAAAACAAGGAGTGCCTATAAACAGGTAAGAATAGGACAGACAGCCCATTTGAAGAGTATTGGTGAGATTGTGGGGAAATGGGCACTATCATATATTTATGTTAGAAGAATAAATTAGTTCCATACTTTTGAAGGCAATATGGCAATACATATCATTTAATTTAAAGTAGTCATTCGTTTTATTTTTAGGCAGAGTCTTGCTCTGTTGCCCAGGCTAGAGTGCAGTGGTGTGATCTCAGCTCACTGCAACCTCCGCCTCCCAGATTCAAGCTATTCTCTTACCTCAGCCTCCTGAGTAGCTGGGATTACAGGTGCCCGCTACCACGCCCTGCTAATTTTTTTTTTTTTTTGTATTTTTAGTGGAGACAGGGTTTCACCATGTTGGCCAGGCTGGTATCGCACTCCTAACTTCAGGTGATCCACCAGCCTCAGCCTCTCAAAGTGCTGGAATTACAGGTGTGAGCCACCACACCCAGCCAAAAGTATTCATTCTTTAATCTTCAAATTCCAGATCTTGGAATTTTTTTCTAAGGGAACAAATACCAAAGTGGGACAAATGCAAGAAATTAATGTTCACTGCCATATTGCTTGTAATAGTAAAAAAGTAGAGACTTAAAAGTCCATCAGAAGAAAGATTTTTTAAATACGTTAAGGCACATCTATGTAACAGAATACTATGCACTGTTATTAATGGATGGGTAAGTTTATATGTATAGACATAGACAAATAGGGATATGTTAGCCCAGTACAGTGGCACACCTGTAGTCCCAGTTACTTGGGAGGCTGAGGCAGGAGGATCACTTGAGCACAGGTGCTCAAGGCCAGCCTGGGCAATAGAGTGAGACCCATCTCTTAAAAAACAAAATAAAATTTAAAACAGGCATATATAACAATGGAAACCAATTATGAAAGAGATTATATCTATATGTATATATATATAATTGGATTATAGGCATCAGCCACCATGCCCAGCAACTTTCAATTTTTTTTTTTTTTTTGAAATGGAGTCTTGCTGTGTTGCCCAGGCTGGAGTGCAGTCGTGCGATCTCGGCTCACTGCAACCTCCACCTCCTGGGTTCAAGTGATTCTCCTGCCTCAGCCTCCTGAGTAGCTGGGACTACAGGTGCCCGCCACCATGCCCGGCTAATTTTTTGTATTTTAGTAGAGACGGGGTTTCACCATATTGGCCAGGCTGGTCTCAAACTCCTTACCTGGTGATCCGTCCGCCTTGGCCTCCCAAAGTGCTGAGATTACAGGCGTGAGCCACCGCGCCCAGCCAACTTTCAATTTTATTAGCTGAGTTTTTAGCACAACATTATTAACTTTTAAAAACAAACATGTTTGTTTTGAAATAGGCAAAACAACAAAAATATTTTGTTTTGGAAAGTAAATTTATATGATCCTGTAAATGTGTATGATATTTAGTAAAGAAAAATAAAGATGAGTTGCCATCTTGGAAGAGCAGGCTCACTGAACAGCAGTGCTTGTTTCCTCCTCCTTCAGAAGGGTCACAGTTGGTGGCTAGGTAACCCGGAGAAGGGTTTTCCTGGGGTCATCATAACTTGTTCTCATTCACATACCTTTATCCGTATTCTTAGCTCATTTTGCCTATTTAAAAGACAAAAGTCTTTTAAGAAAGTTTTCTTAATTTAATTCACATTTCCCTTAATGATTCCACCAAGACCCAAGCAGATGCAAAAATCTCTTTGTGAGTACACTTTTTCCTGCCTTAAGAAAAAATGTTACCTCTGATACTTGAAAAATTTCACAATTTACCTGTTTTGGTCATTCGAGGCTGCCCTGTCACAGAGTACTTCTACTTGTCAAGAACTTCTTTTCTGTTTCTACACTGTAATAAAATCTACTCTACATACAAATTTTTGCAAAACCTTAAAAACCTTTCTAAGGGCTGCAGAGCCAACTGGGGTATGCAAGCAGCAAGAATCTAATTTCTGAACTAAGAGAATAAGCCATATATTCTGAATGGAACTCCAGACTATAAAAAGGTAACAATGAACATGAATATTGGCCTCAAAGAGATACTATTTTATTTATCCCTAAGGAAAAAACATTCTATTTTTCTTGTTAAAGTATTGTTATGTAACAAGAATTACAGCACCTTTCAAAGAAGAGTTGAACCTTACTTTGTAATCAAATAAATACAGGTTAAAATGGCTAGATACCCTTTTTAATCTACCAAAATAGCAAAAGGTTTTTTGCCCCCTCACCTCACCAAAAATGGCACTTTCTTTTTCTTGTCTTTTTTTTTTTTGAGACAGAGTCTCACTTTGTCGCCCAGGCTAAAGTGTAGTGGTACGATCTCAGCTCACCGCAACCTCCGCCTCCCAGGTCCAAGCGATTCTCCTGCCTCAGCCTCCTGAGTAGCTGGGGTAACAGGTATGTGCCACCACACCCAGCTAATTTTTTTTTTCATATTTTTAGTAGAGACAGAGTTTCAACCATGTTGGGCACGCTGGTCTCGAACTCCTGACCTCAGGTGATCCGCCTGCCTCAGCCTCCCCAAGTGCTGAGATTACAGGCATGAGCCACCGTACCCAACTCATCTCATAATTCAAAAGGAATATTTATTCTGATTCATAGTGACTAATGATACATTCTAACATGTTAGACCATAAATGATTTCAAGAACATAAGAGTAACCTAACCTCTATGCCTGTTCTCCCTCTGCCCTTCAAAAAAATTGTATATTAAATTTGAGGGCCGGGTGCGGTGGCTCACGTCTGTAATCCCAGCACTTTGGGAAACCGAGGTGGGCGGATTACGAGGTCAAGAGATCAAGACCATCCTGGCCAACATGGTGAAACTCTGTCTCTACTAAAAATACAAAAAGTAGGCTTGGTGGCGGGCGCCTGTAATCTCAGCTACTTGGGAGGCTGAGGCCAGACAATCGCTTGAACCAGGGAGGCAGAGGTTGCAGTGAGCTGAGATTGCACCACTGCACTCCAGCCTGGCGACAGAGCGAAACTCCGTCTCAAAAAAGAAAAAAATAAATAAAAATAAAAATAAAAATTTTTGTATTTTGGTTTTCATCAGATACTCCAAATGCCAACAACAAAATAGGTGTCACGCACTCCTACATTCCAAGTTGAGGGGCTGGACCGGACACTTCCAATCTGAGATTCTACTGCGATGCTGCAGAGGCCATTGGAAAGAGGTCCTAGTGGGCTGTGGCATTTCCCACAAGTCAAGCCCAGAGAATGGCCTCAACAGAACCATTTGTAGAGCTTGACATGAGTCTCTGGAATTTGGGGAAGGGTTTAATATCTGATTCCAAAGAGTAAACACTGTTTGGTCTGCTTGCTGGGAGAGAAGGAAGCACCGCCACACTGATAACTGCATGCACTTGTAGATTATCCCACTGGAGGGATACGGAAGTTGTTTACTGTGAGCCATACAGATCCTGGAGAAGGCACTGAACATGAGTAGGTTTAAAAGGGACCCTGTACCACAGACCCACCTGAAGGACGGAAGTGATCTCAATAAAAGGGTAATTCTCCCTAGAACACAGACTCTGAGGGTGAAACTGCAAGTGGCATGCTGGAGGGGGTGTCTGAATGAACCATCAAGGAAACTGCAGAAGGGAGATCCCTGGTGATGAGTAGTGTCTCAAAAATCTACCACATCCCCTCTAGAGAGAAAGAGCCAATACTGGATATGCAATATACACAGTACCTAGCTGCCTGATCACAAGGCAGCAGCTGTTTATTGTTTTTTTTTAACTTTTATTTTTTTTGAGAAAGGGTCTTGCTCTGTCACCCAGGCTAGAGTGCAGTGGTGCGATCTCGGCTCACTGCAGCCTCTGCCTCCCGGATTCAAGCGATTCTCGTGCCTCAGCCTCCTGAGCAGCTGGGACTGCAGGCACGCACCACCATGCCTGGCTTTTTTAGTATTTTTTGTATTTTTAGTAGAGATGGGGTTTTGTCATGTTGGCCAGGATGGTTTCAAACTCCTGGTCTCAAATGATCTGCCCACCTTGGCCTCCTAAAGTGCTAGGATTATAGGTGTAAGCCACTGCACCTGGCCAGCAGCAGCTATTTAAGGCTGAGCCTTGTTCTCCCTAACTATTCCCACTATCCCAAGGGACCACAAGCAGCGATTATTAGTGAATAGAGGAGAAGGTGAAGTGCAAGAGAAGATATCAACTGCACCCTTCTCCCCACTGCAGGCTCCTGAGCCCCAGCTGGATGAAAACAGACATTTTGAATTAGAAGAAAGTTTATAGTTTTAACAATAGACTGGGCTAGAATAGATAATATCAGATGGTGACTGGAAATCCTACGATCTGTTTGAAATTCCATCCAGAGATACGGTGGAAGGTGGGGAACGATCTACAAAACAAATTTACTTGGAGAGGGGTGAGAAAGAAAGAATAAAGTTACTTTCTGCTCCTCTTCATAGAAAGTCTAGCTTGTGGCCAGGCACAGTGGCTCATGCCTATAATCCCAGCACTTTGGGAGGCGAAGGCAGGCGGATCACCTGAGAGGTCAGGAGTTCGGGACTAGCATGGCCAACATGGTGAAACCCCGTCTCTAATAAAAATACAAAAATTAGCCAGGCATGGTGGTGGGCTTCTGTAATCCTAGCTACTGGGGAAGCTGAGGCAGAATCGTTTTAACCCAGGACGTAGAGATTGCAGGGAGCCAAGATTGCGCCACTGCACTCCAGCCTGGGTGACAAAGCAAGATTCCCTCTCAAAAAAAAAAAAAAAAAAAGTCTAGCTTATTTGTTTAATAAACAAGAAAACAGAGTAAGATCATTCTATTTAACATACTTAGCAGTCTCTGACATAGCAGTACCCAATCAATATTATTTTTATTATTGAAACATAGTAATAGCAATACAGTATCTTATTTTCCACTTTTAGAATAGAAAAATAATAGAGGTGATAGTATATCTTGACCAGAAATTAATTCAATTAATTATTATCTTGACCAGAAATTAATTGGAAAGAAGCAATTTGGCATTTCCATAACCATGTTTTTCATTGTACCATACTTTCTGTATATGCTTATATAAAGTACAAACATAATTTTTTCTTGTATTCTCACATAGCATTAACCTATACTAGCATCTCCTGAGTGGGGTCTGGTTTGGGGGCTTTTAACTAGCATTGCATCCTAGAATTATCTGTGGAGCTTTTAAAAAGAGCACATTCCTATCTCTGAGGCAAGACTTACCCAATCAGAATCTCTGGGTCTGGAAACCAGACGTGTGTATTTTGAAAAAGCTCCTCAGGTGGCTCAATTGTAAAACGAGGATTGTGAGTCATCGGCCTAGGTCAGTCACTTAGCTCTTTTGTAAACTAGAAGCCAGGCTCCTATTCCTAGTCTTTTGATCTAGTTGGGGCTACCCAGAAAATTTGTTAAAAAATAACAAAAGTCATCTGAATTAGATAACTAAGTAATTGGTTAACCAACATAAACAAAATGAATGCATTCATCAAACATTTACTGGGTACTGCCTCTGCTCCAGGCTCAGTATCAGGCATGGGGATTCCGCTCTACCCTGAGAATATTCTCAGCCTACAAGTGTGTGAACTATTTAAATGTGGCTGCTCTCAATTTATATTAGCTACTAAGAGAAAGGCAACAAACACCTACTTCAAAGACTTACTTGCACAATACTATGGCATACAAGGACTCTCCCACATGAATCAGCCAGGCAAGCCAATACCTGAAACCAAAAAAAAGGTTAATCTTTTTTAAGGTGATAGTTATCTGCTGATGAAATCTAACACAGCAATCTCAAAAAGAAAAGTGCCTTAAGGTGAACCGACACTACTCTTAGATACCAAAAGGCAGCTGCAGGCCTTCCAGGTTTCCCATGAGACCAGAGCTCCAGTGTCCACAGTCCACTTGTGCAGCTCTCCTTACCCATTGCACAGGAGGGTGTGATGGTGGTCCACCAAGTACTGAGTGAAGGGGCCCAGGGGCCCAAGGTTCTGATAAGGGATACTCTGAGGCCAGAAGACAACCCACTGAAAGAGAAGCAGAGACACAGAATACCTATTAGGTCACTTAAAACCTGTTTTTTGTTTTTGTTTTTGAGAAAGGCTGTGAAACAGTAAAAAAATTACCACAGACCGAAGAAACTCTGAACAGTCATTTGGGTCTCCATTCTTGGCTTCTATTTTCTTTCTTTCTTTTTTTTTTGACAGGGTCTCACTCCGCTGCTGGGGCTGGAGTGCAGTGGCATGATCATGACTCACTGCAGCCTCCACCATCTGGGCTCAATCCATCCTCCCACCTCAGCCTCCCAAGTAGATGGGACTACACGTGTGTGCCACCATGCCCAGCTACTTTTAAAAATTGTATATAGAGATGGGGTCTCACTATGTTGCCCAGGATGGTTTCCAACTCCAGGGCTCAAGCAATTCTCCAATCTTGGCCTCCCAAAGTGCTGGGATTACAGGCATGACCTACTGTGCCAGGATGACTTCTATTTTCTAAAAGCAACTCTACTGGGAGACTTATGCTGAGGAAAGTATGTGGTTATCAGACTCAGTGCCCACGGTGGATGACTCTTAAAGTCTTTTTTTCTTCCTTTTCTTCTTTTGTTTTCTTTGTAGAGAAGGGATCTCGCTTTGTCACCCAGGCTTGAGTGCAGTGGCCTGATCACGGCTCACTGCACCCTTGACTTCCCGGGCTCAAGCGATCCTCCCAACTCAGCTTCCCCAAGTAGCTGGAATACAGGCATGGCTACCACGACTGACTAATTTATTTATTTATTTATTTATTTTAGATGGAGTTTCACTCTGTCGCTTAGGCTGGAGTGCAGTGGCACGATCTCGGCTCTCTGTAACCTCCGCCTCGCGGATTCAAACGACTCTCCTGTCTCAGCCTCCAGAGTAGCTGGGACTACAGGTGCATGCCACCACGCCCAGCTAATTTTTGTATTTTTAATACAGACAGAGTTTCACCATGTTGGCCAGGCTGATCTCCAACTCCTGACATCAGGTGATCCGCCCTTCTCGGCTTCTCAAAGTGCTGGGATTACAGGTGTGAGCCACTGCCCATGGCTAATTTTGTGTGTGTGTGTGTGTGTAGAGATGAGGTTTTGCCATGTTGCCCAGGATGGTCTCGAACTCCTGGGCTCAAGCGATTTGCCCGCCTCGGCCTCCCAAAGTGCTGGGATTACAGGGGTGAACCACCATGCCTGGCTGACTCCTATTAATACATTCCACCAAAACCATTATTTTATAAAAGATATTAGCAAATTTTGAGTTTATGTGCTTTGGCTAGTTTCTTTACTGCAGAAACTGGCTCCAGCCAAACCTCTGTTTAATTTAGAATTCCTTTCTCGGCTTTCCCTTTTTGTACGGCTAAAACTGAGAATGATCCACTGCATAGAGATGGAAAATAAGTGAGATAAGGTTGTGACATTTTAATAGCAACTGCTTAATCACATAAATTTTTCGTAATCTTAACTTTCAGCCTCTGTATTGTAACTTCTGTCAGCTAAGACTTTTCTGAGAATAACTCAACAGTTTCAAAATGTATTGTCCCATTCAAATCTTTGTCAAGAGCAGTACTACCTCTCTCACGATGTTGTTTCACATCTGAAAGTTAAATAATGCACAAATATCACTGCATCCTCCCAAACCAAAGGGAAAGGGGAGCATCTGCCAGCTCCACAAGATCCCAATTTGAAGTCCCCAAAGCTTTCCTCCAACTATATTCTAACTAGTCACAGACACTAAATCGTAGAACAGAAATGCACCTTTGAAAATTTTCAGTTCAACACCTCCATTGTACATATGGGGAAATCAGGACATAGGTTGTCAGATTTGACACCAACAAACAACACTGTGGACAAGACAAATCTCCAATCTCCAGGATCTATTGGTATACCCAAATAGCTTCGCCTTCCTTCAAAATTTTACCACCTTATCACTTGACGTTAGGAGTTCGAGGCCAGCCTCACCAATACCCATGTCTACTAAAAACACAAAAAAATAGCTGGGCATAGTGTAATCCCAGCTACAGGTAAAGACATGAGAATCGCTTGAACCTGGGAAGCAGAGGTTGCAGTGAGCCGAGATCGCCCCACTGCACTCCAGCCTGGGTGACAGAGCGAGACTCCGTCTCAAAAAAACACAAAACTACCACCTTAGCCCCCAACCTACTTTTCCACGCATCTTTCTCGTTATCCTTTAAACAGATTATTTCTCAGCCAAACAAACGTCGCTCTTTTTCTAGGTACAGCTTTCTTCTTGCTTCCACACCTATGTCAGAACAGTTATAGCCTCTTTATCCTCCCTTACCACTTAAATCCTACCCATCCTTTAGATTTATCCCCGTTTTCCAAACAATTCCTATTGGCTCAAACATTCTGCTTCGGAAGCCCTATTCTGACTTGGCAGGCCTATGGCAGTCTGTTAACTTGACTTTCCGCTTCGTGAGAGGCTTAGGCTCGGATAACCCGTTAGTAACCATGCAGAGGTGAGGACCCAAAGACAGGAACACTAGAAAGCAGAAACTATCCTAAGAGCCCACCGAATTTCCGCTTACATGAGTAACCGAGACAACCGTCAGATGCGCGTGCGCACAGGCCCCGTTCCCAGAGCTCCCCTCGCCCTACGAGGGCCCGGCGGGCCAAAACAGAGGCCCGCCCCGCCCCACCCCACGCCTCACCGCGAAGTAGCCCAGCCCCAGGACTGTGACCAGAGAGGGCAAGGGTCTTGCTGGACGGAAATAGGCGGTAGCCGCATTGCTGGCCTCCGACTTCACCATCCTCTTGAAAAACCCAGACACAGAGTTGGCTGGGAGCTCCCCAGCCGTCCCCGCCCCCATATAAGAAAAGCCTGGCTAGCCGGTTTCTCAGGGCCCTGGGCGCCCGCCCAAGACCCTGGCGGACCAGTATGCTTGCTCTCATTGCGGAGTCTGGTCCCCTCCCCTCCGCTCCTAGCGCGCGGGAGTCGGGATTGTGCTTGCACGACTTCCCCCGGCCCGCGGCCTGTGAGCCCAGGTCCTGGGGTGAACCGAGCGCTCGCTCGTTCGTCAGACCGTAGCGCTCCAGCGGCTGTCCTTACTGTGTAGTAGCCAAAGCTGAGGGTGATGACTGTGAACCAGAACAGACTGCCTCGCTGAAAGTAGGTCGCGCCGGCTGCCGTAGCCATGGCTGCAACACCTCCCCGGGAGCGCGCTTCAGGACACCGTCGAGCGCGAGCGCGGAGGCAGGGCCGGGGCCGGCCCGCGCTCCCTCGCCATCCCCGCAGGGAGAAGATGGTGCTGGTTGGGAAGTCCCTGAGAGCGAGTCTCCCTGTCTGGCCCCAGTACAGGGGCCTTGGAATCACACCTGGGCTCAGGTCTGGAGGGCTGGTCATCATCTTGTAGGGGAGACACTCCTGTCACTTTTCTGGGTTTAAGATAAAGATGTTCGGGCTGGCGCGGTGGCGTGTCCCTGTAATCTCAGCACGTTGGGAGGCTGAGGTAGAAAGATCCCTTGAGCCCAGGAGTTTGAGACCAGCCCGGGTAACATAGCTAGACTCTGTCTCGAATGAATGAATGAATGAATGAGGTGTTGGAATAAATTCCAGCAATTTGGGAGGCCGAGTCGGGCAGATCACTTGAGGTCAGGAGTTTGAGACCAGCGTGGTCAACATGGTGAAACCCCGTCTGTACTAAAAATACAAAAAATTTGCTGGGCGCGGTGGTGCCTGCCTGTAGTCCCAGCAACTCCAGAGGCTGAGACAAGACTCTCTTGAACCTGAGAGGTGCAGGTTGCAGTGGGCCCAGATCACGCCACTGCACTCCAGCCTGGGCAACACAGCAAGACCCTGTCTCAAAAAAAAAAAAAAAAGATGGTGTTTTACTAAGAGTCTAATTTTTGAAGTTCTCTGTGCTGTGCACCTTGAGAAATAATGCTGTCCTCATTAGTTAAGATGTTTGGAACTATACAGCACCATGGTTATGAGCAGGGACTGTGAAACAGGCTGCCTGGATTTAAGTCCTGGCTCTGTCTCGGCTATTTGTGTAAGCTTAGATTAATTACTTAGCCCGGCTGTGTCTTAGTTTCTGTATCTGTAACATGAGGATATGCCAGTTTTGGGAACCTCAGGGTTTTTAGGGTGGGTTAAATGAGTTGATATCTGTAAAGAAAGCACAGCAGTGTCTGGCCCATAGTGCTTTGTAAGTGTGGGTGATTATCAATACTGCTGAGCCTTTAGCATGTGTGCCAGGCCCTGTGCGAACTGTTGTATCATCAATGAGCTGTGGGAGGTATATGCAGCTGAAGTGTCTGATTAAACACTATTTAATCATAGAAATAGAAAATCATAGAAATAGAAAAACTATTTCACCTGGGCCTTAAAAATGGGTTACTGGCCAAGCGCAGTGGCTCAAGCCTATAATCCTGGCACTTTTGGAGGCCGAGGTGGGTGGATCGCTCAGGAGTTCGAGACCACCCTGGAGAACATGGTGAAACCCTGTCTCTACTAAAATACAAAAAATTAGCTGGGGGTGGTGGCGCGTGTCTATAGTCCCAACTACTTGGGAGGCTGAGGCACGAGAATTGCTTGAGCACCGGAGGCGGAGGTTGCAGTGAGCCGAGATCCAATCACTGCACTTCAGCTTGGGCTATAGAGTGAGACTCCGTCAAAAAAAAAAAAAAAAAGTTACTATACTGTAGCTGGTATTTATTGAACACCTACTATGTTCAAGGCATTGTTCTAAGTACTATACAATAATTAACTAATTTAATTCTTAAAACAATCCTAGGCAGTAAACTATTGTCCTTATTTCAAAGAAGAAGAAACAGCACAGGGTCCTGTCATGCCCAAGTGGGTGAGGAATACTGGAAAACAATTGGCAGCTGAGTGTTCCAGTTCCAGAGAGGGCACTCTGGAACCAACCAAGGTTCTCTTTCCTCATTTTTTACGTGAGTATCTTGGGATATAAAGTCTTAAAGAATGAATTTCAGAATATGTGAGGAAATCCATTTCCCAGGTAGACCACAGTGCTCTTGAATATCAAGATTAACAGTAACAATTGTAACAATTGGTGTTTTCTTAGTCCTTATCATCCTTGATCACACCACCCTCTTTATTCTTCTCCTCCTTCTGAATAACTCCTTGTTTTCTCAGCTTTCCTTTTCTTTCTTCTCTCCTAGAATAAGTTTTGCTTATTATCTTCTTTGTGTTTTCAGTACCTATCAGATTCAATTTTCACCTTCAGCTGACTAAAATAATCTCTTCAGCCCTCACCTCTTCCCAGTTGGTCACCTTTACCAAAGATTACTCACACCTCAAAGACAAGAAGTCCATTATCATTATCCACAGAGTCCATCCTCACCAAGGCTACCCTGTCTGTGGTTTTTTTTTTTTTTTTTTTTTTTTTTGAGATGGAGTTTTGCTCTTGTTGCCCAGGCTGGAGTGCAGTGTTGCGATCTCGGCTCACTGCAACCTCTGCCTCCCCACTTCAAGTGATTCCCCTGTCTCAGCCTCCTGAGTAGCTTGGATTACAGGTGTGCACCACCACGCTTGGCTAATTGTGGAGACGGGGTTTCACCATGTTGGCCAGGCTGGTCTCGAACTCCTGACCTCAGGTGATCTGCCTGCCTCGGCCTCCCAAAGTGTTGGGATTACAAGTATGAGCCACCTCGCCCGGCCTACTCTATGTGAACAGCACTTTCTTTCTACCTTGTACCCAGATTCCTTGCTTTGACTTCCCCCATATCATATAAAGATTGCAGACTAATCAGCTGTCAAGAGTTCTACTGATTGGGTAATACAATATCTAATCCTTCTAGATTAAATCATGGCTTCATCTCCACTGTCTCATGAGTCAGTCACTCCTTCCTACTTCCTGCCACTTCAGCCCACATGCAGTCCCTTTATTGAATCTGTCTGACAAATAACAGGATCATCTTTTTCAAGTACAGTTCTGATCAAGCCTTTACCATACCAAAACTTTTTTTTTTTTTTGAGACAGAGTCTCACTCTATTGCTCAGATTGTAGTGCAATGGCGCAATCTCAGCTCACTGCAACCTTGGCCTTCTGGGTTCAAGTGATTCTCCTGCCACACTCTCTCTAGTAGCTGGGACTACAGTCACATGCCACCACACCCAGCTAATTTTTTGTATTTTTAGTAGAGATGGGGTTTCGCCATGTTGACCAGGCTGGTCTCAAACTCCTGACCTCAGGTGATCCACCTGCCTTGGCTTCCCCAAGTGCTGAGATTACAGGTGTGAGCCACCATACCCAGCCTACCTTACCAAAAGTTTCAAGAACTTCCCCAATTTTAGGCTGCCGTTTTTCAGTATTTCTATTTAGGTATTAAATCTGCAACGAGGGAGATATTGGAGAAATTATTCATGCTACAAGAAATGTTGGAGAGGCAAAATGGCTTCAGTCAACAGACTACAGGGAGCTAGGTTTTAGTTTCATGTCTTCTACAACCCTGCTTGGAGCCCAGCCTGTTACTTAGTGTCCTATGTCTTCCAACTCCACACTATTTTTTTTTTTTTTAATAGAGACGGTGCTTCACTATGTTGCCCAGGCAGATCTCAAACTCCCAGCCTTAAGTAATCCTTCCACCTCAGCCTCCCAAAGTGCTGGGATTATAGTTAGAGGCTGTACCTGGCCACCAACAGCTCAACACTAAACATCTTACTGTTAGCCCCTCACGCACAGATAAGGAATCCAGAAGACAGTACCAGAAGATCTTTGTTCAGATGTGAGTAGTTTATGTAAATTCATGAAGAACTTACAGTCAACTGGATGTTCAGAAGGCATTCCTTTCTTCATTACAGTCACCCTTCACACACGGCAGGGGTGACTGAATTCTCTAAGGTCCAGGCACCCTACACTGCTGTCCCATCTGAATTGGCAGAGAAATATCTCATCCCTGGACATTTTTATCCCCCTGTCTAGATGGATTAGTGACCTAAATATGAAAAATAATGAAGAAAGTCTGGGAGAATAGTTTTACAACTTTTGAGGGAGGGGAAGGAAACCTTTTAGCAAGTTATTAAAATTAAAAGCCATAGAAGGAAAGATTGAAAATTTAACTGCATCCAGATGAAAAGCTTCATTCATATGAATGACACTGTAAATAAAGTTGAAATACCTGGAAGAAGGAATTCTCCAATATATGTAATTGACAAATGATTAAAGGATATGAATTGGGCATCCTCAAAAGAGAAAACTTGAGACCAAGCAAAATGAAAGGATGGTTCAATCTTAATGGCCCTATGGGATACGCAAAATAAAGCAAAAATAACATTGTTTTTCCTCATAAGATTGGCCTACTAGATATCAAGACACACTGTAAAGAGCTATAATAATGTAAAACATTTGGCACTTGACATGCAGAAATCAACAAATGGATCAATGAAAAAATAATGCAGACTCCAGACATGGATCTGGTATATACATATCCAAGCGTTTATTTTATAATAAAGGTAACATTTCAAATTAAGGAAGGAATAATGGATTATTCAGTAAATTATTTTGGGGCAATTAGTTATCTATTCCAGAAAAAATATTTTAAATAATACTGTCCACTCCCAAACACAAATACACAAATGATGCAGTATCAAGAGATACAGAGGTATTAATAAGTAGTCCTCCTTGGGGAGTTATGATGAGGTGGCTATAGGATGGACAAGTGCTGAGATACAGCAAAAAACTCCCACACCTTCCCAGGATTATAGGATGGGGGAAGGGCGACCTAAACAAATTTACAGAAATTTGAATAGAATATTGTGTGTCCAGGGAATTAGGAGAAATTTTTTGTTGCTAGAAAAAAACAATGTGAAGAAATTGAGTGAAGGAAGTTGAGGCTGCAAAGACAGGTGGAGTCCTGATCATGAATGGCATTTGGTATCAAACCGAGGGGTTTTGATTTGATCCCTTAGCCAAGGTGAGTCAGTGAAATTCTGTTTGTTTTATTTAATTAATGTATTTATTATTTGTAGAGACGAGTCTCCCTATGTTGCCCAGCTGGTCTTGAACTCCTGGGCTCAAGTGATCCTCCTGCCTCAGCCTCCCAAACTGCTGGGACTACAGGTCAGGCTTGGGCCACCATGCTGAGCTAATTATTATTATTATTATTATTATTATTATTATTATTATTATTTTTAATAGAGATAGGGTCTCGCTATGTAGCCCAGGCTGGTTTTGAACTCCTGAGCGCAAGCTATCCTCCCACCTTGGCCTCCCAAAATGCTGGGATTACAGGCATGAGCAACCATACCTGCTCTGTTTGTTTTAACTAGTGGAGTGAACATATCTTGTGTACATTGGATGGAGGTAAAATTGGAAGGAAGGAAGGAGGAGAAGAAGAAAAATTATTGAAACAGTATAATGAGAATGGAGAAGGAAAATGCTACATTTTTTAGGTAGGGAAACCAAGGAATCATTCACTCAAATAGTCAAGAAATATTTCTGAAGACCGGCTGGGCGCGGTGGCTCACGCCTGTAATCCCAGGACTTTGGGAGGCTGAGGCGGGCGGATCATGAGGTCAAGAGATGGAGACCATCCTGGCCAATGTGGTGAAACCCCGCCTCTACTAAAAATACAAAAATTAGCTGGGTGTGGTGGCGCGTGCCTGTAGTCCCAGCTACTCAGGAGGCTGAGGCGGGAGAATCACTTGAACCCGGGAGGCACAGGTTGCAGTGAGCCAAGATTGCGTCACTGCACTCCAGCCTGGTGACAAAGCAAGACTCCATCTCAAAAATAATAAAATAAAATAAAATAGTAATAAAATTTAATTTCTGAAGACCAGTGTAGTGTCAGTTATGGTGCTAGGCTCTGGAAATATGAATATAAACCAAAAATAATATTCTAAGGCCCCCCCCTAACTATCTGAATGGACTTTCTTCTCAGCCAGGGCTCTTTTAAAATGTAACCTGAGAGACTGGTTCAGGCCATGACTGAAAGTGGGAGTCAGACATGCCTCATTATACCTTTCTGGCATTGACATCAACATAGACTGTAAGTCTGATAAGAAACATTTTACAACCTGTTCTCTCTGAAGCCTACTACCTGAAAGCTTCCTCTGCAAATAAGAACTTGAGTCTCCACAATCCTTAACCCAGATATTCCTTTCTCTTGATCCCAGGTATTTAGATAAACTCAACCAATTGTCAACCAGGGCTGCGTGTGGTGGTTTATGTCTGTAATCCCAGCAGTTTGAGTGGCCGAGGTGGGCAGATCACTTGAAACCAGGAGTTTGAGGCCAGCCTGGCCAACATGGTGAAACCCCATCTCTACTAAAAATGCAAAAATTAGCCAGGTGTGCTGGTGCATGCCTGTAGTGCCAGCTACTTGGAAGGCTGAGGTGGGAGGATCACTTGAATCTGGGAGGGAGAGGTTGCAGTGAGCTGAGATCATGCCACTGCACTCCAGCCTGGGTGACAGAGTGAGTTCCTGTCTCTAAATAAATAAATCAATAAAAATAAAAAATACAATAACAACTGTCAACCAGGAAATTAAACATCTACCTAGATTTTTTAAAAAAGAATAATCTTCGGCTGGGCACGCTGGCTCACGCCTGTAATGCCAGCACTTTGGGAGGCCGAGGCGGCCAGATCACGAGGTCAGGAGATCAAGACCATCCTGGCTAACGCAGTGAAACTCCGTCTCTACTAAAAATACCAAAATTAGCCGGGCATGGTGGTGGGCGCCTGTAGTCCCAGCTACTTGGGAGGCTGAGGTAGGAGAATGGTGTGAACCCAGGAGGTGGAGCTTGCAGTGAGCCGAGATTGCACCACTGCACTCCAGCCTGGGGGACACAGCAAGACTCTGTCTCAAAAAAAAAAACAAAAAACAAAAAACAAAAAAAAAGAAAACAAATAATCTTCTCTTGTACAATTTTTGATAAATAAGATATGGAATGAGAAACTGAACTGTTGCTTTCGTAGGTAAATGAGAGTCTGAGTTTCCTTAGCTCCAAAGAGAAAGGGCATTTTACTCCTCCCAGCTGAAAGGCACCCCTGGGTGACCAGGGGCCTTGTGGGAGTGTCTGTGAGGTTCACCCACCCATCATGACATGTAGCGCAGCAGCCCTACAGGGAACCCCCAACAAAATTAGTTTTAAAAAGGCTCATCCAGGAAGCACGTATGGGAGCTCCAGGTTTTGAGCCCTCTGAGAGGTGCTAGAGCTTCAGAGAGAGAAATTGAGACACATAAGAGGGCAACGATGACTCAGGGGTGACACCGTGGAGTCCTGCCTGCAACCAGCACACTTCCACCCATTCCACAAAAGCCCTAGGCCACAGCTCAGTTCCTCCTTTAAAAAATACTGGGAAACAAATAATCTAAGTATGAGGAGAAAACAAGGAGAATGACCCCCTTTGGGCACTCCATCAGTATTATGGTGGCTCTACTTACTAGAGTTTATGTGAAATTGAAGTATTATGGTGTTTGTGCACATTTACATTAAGGAAAAAGAGACCTAAGGTTGACCTGCAAACTATAGAGTTCCTAAGTTCTCCTTTTCTTTGTTTTCTTTTCTGTCTGACTTACATCTGCTGTTACTTTTCTATTGAGATTAAAAATCACTGGTTTTTTTTTTTTTTGAGATGGAGTCTCACTCCATCATGCAGGCTAGAGTGCAGTGGCACGGTCTCAGCTCACTGCAACCTCCACCTCCTGGGTTTAAGTGATTCTCCTTCCTCAGCCTCCCGAGTAGCTGAGATTACAGGCATCCACCACCACGCCTGGCTATTTTTTTTATTTTTAGCAGAGACGGGGTTTTGCCATGTTGGCCAGGCTTGTCTCAAACTCCTGACCTCAGGTGGTCCACCGCCTTGGCCTCCCAAAGTGCTGGGATTACAGGCATGAGTCACAGTGCCTGGCCTAAAACCACTTTTTGATCTAAACTTTTTTTTTTTTTCAACCCAGTGCATTTGTATTTATCTCATGACTAAAGTTCAGAAGTAAAAGCTATGGGATTTTTTGTGTGTATGTGTGTATATGTGTGTGTATATATATTTAAAAGGCTTTTATAGTAGATTTATATAATTTTAATTGGTAATTAAATTCATTTTAACTTCACTCTAGCACACCTGACTTTTCCTCTTGAGATGTAAATTTTGCTAATTGATTTTTCACTTGAGTTGTTTCCTTTAATATGCAAATTTAGTACTTTAGCTAAAACTGCCTAGGGTAATAAAATGGGTTATCAAGAATTTAAAAGTCTAAGGAAAAAAAAATAGGTCTTATGAATCTGTAAGCTGTACTTCTATTGGTATGCCTAATATGTCTATGTATTTCTGTGTTGTGTATATAATATTTTACTACTAAAAAGATATAAAAGAGCTTGCATTAAGTGGTTTAAAGAAAAATGAAAGTGCTTAAATCAAATACTTTATCAAAAAAAAAAAAAGACTAGTCAAATGTTTTTCAAGTTCATGTGAGATGGGATAATTCCCTTGACCCCTTTCATGGGTGGGAACTGGAGTGGCTGGTTTCATTGAGCCAGCAGCTGTCCACTCCTTGCAAGAGGGATCATGCATGCTAGTGAGTGCAGGAACTGGAGCGAACAAATGCTGGAACTGGCTAGTTGCTCCTCTCTGGCAGGAGCAGGCTCTGTGTGGGCCCCGCAGCAGCATCCAAGTATATTACAATCAATGCTCTTTCAGCTCTGCTGTCCAGAGATGGCCAAGTGCCAGCTAGCTCAGTGGAGGGTCAGGGTGGCAGCAGCTGTCCTCTAGGCACTTGGGTTCTTGTCTGACATCCAGGTCACACAAATGGATTGAAGGGTAGTGTATAAGGAGGATTTTACTGGGTAATGGAAGTGGCTCTCATCGGGATGCGGAGGTGAAAAGGCAATGATGTGGGAAGAAGGTGATCTTTCCCTGAAGCCTGGCTGTCTCTGGCTGGGCCGCTCTCTGAAGCCGCACTATCTGAAGTTTGTCGTGTCTATCCATAGTCTCGAATGTTCAGTTGCTTCTCTGCTTGCCACTCAGCCACTTGTATTCCCACCACTCAGCTGCTTGTGTTGCTCTGCCAGTTGAAATCTTTTTTTCTTTTCTTTGTTTTTTTCTTTCCTGTTTATTTTTATTTTTATTTTTTCTTTAGCAACTGAAGTCTTTTTATGGGCACAGGATAGGGGTGTGGCAGGCCAAAAAGGCATTATTTAGGTGGAAAAACAGGGTCAGCTGTTTTCCCTTAGGGCCGTGGTCCAGGCTGAATGGTGGGGTTTAGCCCTGAGCCCAGCCCTTCTGTATCACATGTGACTTAAGTAAAATCTTTAATAAATAAGCTTGCTTTAAAATTGTTGGTAAAATAATACTAGAAATGTCTTAAGAATTGTTAGTATTTTTGTTTGCATTTATTGATCAAGTGGTTTCATGCTTTATTCCTGCAGAATGCTATAAGATTTACCATAAGAGTTATAAAACTATAAAACCCAGCCCAAAACTGAATGATCTTTGCTTGTATAATTTTTGATAAATAAGACACAAAACATTGTTGGTTTAATGAAAACAGCTAAATCCTGAGTTATTGGTAAAAACACCCTTATATTAAACCTTAAGCTTCTTACTTAAGTAAACACCTGAAATTCACAGCTATAAAAATAATTAACAGAGAATTAACTTGAAGTGATGACTATCACTGTTTTCATAAATAACCTAGGTAAACTATTAGATAATCAAGTAAATGTATAGACTAAATGCTTATAAACAAACTTGTCATAAAATTTAGAATCTAAAGTCATATTAAATAATAGGTATTAATTGAATATCTGGGTAATTTACAATTTAAAAATTATAGGAAAACTTTTTAAAAATATTCTTATTAAAAGGTAAATATGGCAGATGTGGTGGCTCACACCTGTAATCCCAGCACTTTGAGAGGCTGAGGCGGGTGGATCATGAGTTCAGGAGTTCAAGGCCAGCCCGGCCAAGATGGTGAAACCCTGTCTCTACTAAAAGTACAAAAATTAGCCAGGTGTAGTGGCGGGTGCCTATAATCCCAGCTACTCAAAAGGCTGAGGCAGATAATTGCTTGAACCCAGGAGGTGCAGGTTGCAGTGAGCCGAGATCATGCCACTGCACTACAGCCTGGGTGACAGAGCGAGACTCTGTCTCAAAAAAAAAAAAAAAAAAGAATTTAAAAAAAATTTTAAAAAAAGGTAAATACCTTTGTTTAATTCAAAGCTTATTTAAGGTTATGCATAAAACAGTGTAAACAGAACTAGGAAATATGAGATGTAAGGAAAGCTACAGATATAAAGAGTTATTTTTGGTAAAGAAAGTAAAAAGAAAAAAAATTTTTATATGAGAATCTTGTATGGTAAATTTTTCCTAAAATAAGATAACTGGTTTTTCAAGAAAGAGGGATCTTTAGGACAAAACAAACAGTCTAAGCACGTTGTAAATGGTCTATGTAAGTCATAATAAGGTTAGTAAAAAGGAATTTAATTTTTTTTAAAGGGGTTATATAATTCAGTTGGCTGTGATTAAGAAGAAATTATGATAGTCTTTCTAGAGATGGGTCTTCGATATTAATATCAATGAAAAGAGTTGAACTCTATAAAATATTTGAAGAGTCTTATTCTGAGCCAAATATGAGTGACCATGGCCTGTGACATAGCCTTCAGGAGGTCCTGAGAACATGTGCCCAAGGTGGTTGGAGCACAGCTTGGTTTTATACATTTTAGAAAGGCATGAGACATCAATCAAATACATTTAAGAAATACATTGGTTTGGTCCAGAAAGATGGAACAACTCAAAGCAGGGGCTTCCAGGTTATAGGTGAATTTAAAACATTCTCTGGTTGACAGTTGGTTGAGTTTGTCTAAAGACCTGGTATAGATAGAAAGGGAATGTTCAGGTTAAGATAAAGATACTGGAGACCAAAGTTCTTTTGAAGTCTTATTGTAGCTGCCTTAGAGACAATAGGTGAAAAATGTTTCCTATTCAGATCTTAATCTCTTTAGGATTGGGAGGGTCTGGAAGAAAAAGATCTAGCTATGTTAATAGAGATTCTTTACAGATGCAAATTTTCCCCCACAAAGAACAGCTTTGCAGGACCATTTCAAAATATGGCAAAGAAACACGTTTTAGGGTAAAATAGTTTGATTTTCTTCTTTGTCTCTTAATGTTATGCCAGAGTCAAGTTGGAAAATAAATCATGATATATAGGGTTAAATAAAACCTATCTGAGGGCATGACTCCACAGACCCCTTAGATAGGAATTTGGGCATAAAATAATAAAAATAAATTTTTTAGTTTATTATTTATCAAAAATTATTGTCTTATTTATCAAAAATTATACAAGCAAAGATCATTCTTTCTTGGGGTGGGTTTTATATAAATAAATAAATGTTTAAATAAATAAAAAATGTTTAAATAAATAAAAAAGTCAGAGCTTAGTACTCATTAGCAAAACCACTAATACAAAACTAAATAATTGGTTAAAACAAGATTTTATTTAAAATATTGACTTAATGCAAGAAGCTTTTAATTCTTAAATTCTATAATCTATCTTTTTGACACTCTTCAGATTGATATCTCAGAAGTTCAGCTCTTTCTCTTTTGAAAAGGCCTTGGATGATTAATCTCTCCTTTGCCTTTTATTTGGCTCCTGTAACTTTTTATTAATTATCTAAAGTAAGGGAGATAATCTTTTTTTTTTTGACAATAGGCAAATAAATATCTTTGGACCTGCCTTTTTTTATTCTGCATGTGGGAACTAGTAAGATTGCCTGAGCCCACAAAGCATAGAGTAGAAGCTAGAGTGCTAGTCATGACAAATTCTCTACTTCATAGCCCTTTGTGGAGCATTTATTGGGATTGATGGCAAAAGACGGTGAGTACTTCCCAATGACAATGACTGAACTAGAGAATATCCACCTGGGAGGCATTTATTGCCTTACTAGGGAATGTTAATTGAAGCCACCCCTATGCTAATGGGTTTTGTTTGTTTGTTTGTTTGTTTGTTTTTGAAAGAGTCTCCCTCTGTCGCCCAGGCTGGAGTGCAGTGGCAACATCTTGGCTCACTGCAACCTCCACCTCCCAGGTTCACGTGATTCTTGTGCCTTAGCCTCCCGAGTAGCTGGGATTATAGGCATGTGCCACCATGCCTAGCTAATATTTGTATTTTTTTTTTTTTGAGACTGAGTTTCGCTCTTGTCACCCAAGCTGGAGTGCAATGGCATGATCTCCAGTCACTGCAACCTCTGCCTCCTGGGTTTGGGATTACAAGTGCCTGCCATCATGCCCGGCTAATTTTTGATTTTTAGTAGAAATGGGGTTTTACCATGTTGGCCAGGCTGATCTCAAACTCCTGACCTCAGGTGATCCACCCACTTCTGCCTCCCAAAGTGCTGGGATTACAGATGTTAGCCACCACGCCCGGCTAATTTTTGTATTTTTAGTAGATACGGAGTTTTGAATTCCTGGCCTCATGTGATCCACACCCTATGCTAATAGAAATAATGGTCCCCAAAAGAGTTCCATGCTAAAATAAAAATGGTTTATATAGAATCTTGCTACCTTGGGATATAAGGAGGAGATACTGATAAGCAGGGAGCCCCTTTCTTAGGACTAATTCTAACTCTGTGAGTAGCTGCTAGATTCTATAGTGCCTGATAGACAGCTCTCATGAGCTGCTTGATTTGTGAATGGCATTTCCAAGGTAAACAAACATCCTGTTTGAAAGCTGCTTCTCTGCCTAAAGAAGGGTCAAGAAAATCCTTTTCTTTTTGACTTATTTGGGTGAATATGTTTTTTGTTTGTTTGTTTTTGAGACAGAGTCCTGCTCTGTCACCCAGGCTCTAGTGCAGTGACGCCATCTCGGCTCATTGCAGCCTCCATCCCAGGGGGTCAAGCAATCCTCACACCTCAGCCTCCCGGTAGCTAGGACTATAGGTGCGTGCCACCATGCCCAGCTAACTGTTTGTTTTTTTTGAGACGGAGTTTCACTTTTGTTGCCCAGGCTGGAGTGCAATGGCATGATCTTGGCTCACTGTAACCTCTGCCTCCAGGGTTCAAGCGATTCTCCTGCCTCAGCCTCCTGAGTAGCTGGGATTATAGGCATGCACCACTTCACCCAGCTAATTTTGTATTTTTAATAGAGACAGGGTTTCACCATGTTGGTCAGGCTGGTCTCGACTTCCTGACCTCAGATGATCCACGGGCCTGGGACTCCCACAAGTTCTGGGATTTCAGGCATGAGCCACTGCACCGGCATAATTTTTATATTTTTTGTGGAGATGGGGTTTTGCCTCGTTGCCCAGCCTGGACTCAAGCGATCCTCCTGCCTTGGCCTCCCAAACTGCTGGGATTACAGGCGTAAGCCACTGCGCCCAGCCGGGAGAAGTATGTTTTTGTAAGCAAATTTACCTTTCCATCTAGGTTCTTCAAAATTTGGATTGTAGTTTTATTACAATACAGTTATTTGGATAAGTTCAGTAAGTCTTTTGAAACAGAACAATTGAAGACACTCGTTATCTTACCAAGACTTTAACTAAAGTAGCTTTTTTTTTTTTTTTTTTTTGAGATGGAGTCTTGCCCTGTCGCCTGGCTGGAGTGCAGTGGCACAATCTCAGCTCAGCAGCCACAACCTCTGCCTCCCGGGTTCAAGTGATTCTCCTGCCTCAGCCTCCTGAGTAGCTGAGATTACAGGAGCGTGCCACCACGCCCGGATAATTTTTGTATTTTTAGTAGAGATGGGGTTTTACCATATTGGCCAGGCTGGTCTTGAACTACTGACCTTGTGATCCACCTGCCTTGGCCTCCCAAAGTGCTGGGATTACAGGCATGAACCACCACGCCCAACCAAAGTAGCATATTTTTAGGTAAAGTTCCAGCAAAGCCAACTTAAAAGGAGCCTATATGGCCAATCGATTGTTGCTGCATGTTATGCAAATAATCAGGCTAGTATAATAAGCCTAAAACTTACTTTGCACACAAATTTTGTTTGTGTTTAAGGAGTATAAATTCTCCTTAATAGAAAAAAAGAGGCTAGAGAAATTGTTTCAAAGGAAAAGTGTAACAGTTAATGCTAGATTTCAGACCTAGCTTTTGCTTTTTTGAGTTCAGATTGAATTATTATTTCTTGGCTACGATAATCCTCTAGAGATACCAGATGATAATTTTTCTTCATATTTTTAGCTGGTGCCCTAATGGAATAAGTTTCTTTTTCTGTTGTGACACACAAATACTCTTTTGATTGTGAA
This sequence comes from Homo sapiens, assembly GCF_000001405.40. NCBI lineage: Eukaryota > Metazoa > Chordata > Mammalia > Primates > Hominidae > Homo > Homo sapiens. The sequence goes on along the minus strand of NC_000010.11, from coordinate 80,064,683 downwards.
ACTATAAACGTTATTTCTTTCTCCTTGTTTTATTGCCAAGGAAACCAAAATCATGGTATTCTGAAGACCAGAGATGTGAATCTCCCTCATTTGGCATCCCACTGGGCCCCAGTGTGTTTTTCACTGCAAATGCCCTGCTGCTAAAACTATACAAGCACCCTCCCTCTAGACCCAGGGTTGTGGAAGAGTTGGGTACATGAGATTGTAAGAGCCAGTTTTGAGGGCTCAAGTTAGGTCAAGGTCAAACCCTTCAAATCAAGGAGGAGTATAAAGATGCCTCAACAGCTGGTAAAACAAGGAACTTTGCCTTCTAAATGATTATGTGTCACTGTTGCATCCACCCCAAACATAAATACTTTTTGTTTTTGAGACGGAGTCTGGCACTGTCGTCCGGGCTAGAGTGCAGTGGCGTGATCTCGGCTCAGCCTCCTGAGTAGCTGGAATTACAGGCATTCACCACCTCAGCCAGCTAATTTTGTATTTTTAATAGAGATGGGGTTTCACCATGTTGGTCAGGCTGGTCTCAAACTCCTGACCTCAGATGATCCACCCGCCTTGGCCTCCCAAAGTGCTGGGATTACAGGCATGAGCCACCATACCCGGCCAATAAATTTTTGCTTCCTGTAAAATTAAAGGAAAATATTTACTAACAGGATAAAGATACCTTACAACAAAGCCTCCTGGGTATAGTTATCCCAGTTATGAGTTGAGAACATAAATCTCTCTGTCTCTCATATATATACATATACATATTTAAAATATTTTCTCAGAACATCGCCAATGTTTTATATAGCTAATTGCTGTAAGTCTATAAAACCAAGCTTACAGTAGCTCAACACATAGAAGTTGAAATAAGTCAGTGTTGCAGCTTTGCCTTTAGGTTTTTGTTTGTTGGCGTTTTACTTAAAATAATAATTTAAGAGGTAATGAATGCCTGTCCACGTCCATTCCTATCTGGCCTAGTACAATTAATTGGCTACAAATCTTTTGACTTTTTTTTTTTTTTTTTGAAATGGCGTTTTGCTCTTGTTGCCCAGGCTGGAGTGCAATAGCACAATCTCGACTCACTGCAACCTCCGCCTCCCGGGTTCAAGTGATTCTCCTGCCTCAGCCTCCTGAATAGTTGGGATTATAGGCATGCACCACCACGCACGGCTAGTTTTGTATTTTTAGTAGAGATGAGGTTTCCCCATGTTGGTCAGGCTGGTCTCGAACTCTCGACCTCAGGTGATCCACCTGCCTCATCCTCCGAAAGTGCTGGGATTACAGGTGTGAGCCACCACGCCTGGCCAGTCTTTTGACTCTTAAGGCCCTCAGCCATAGGAAGTCCCACCAAGGGACAGGATGGATGGGGGACAGGCAGCCACGCCACCCTGGCAATGCTATGGGACAAAATAAAGATTTGATGGCCTTTGATGTTGCCTCTGGTAAATATTGGCCAGAAGGGGGAGAATGTAAACCAAAAATAAAATTCTAAAGCCCTCCAACCATCTGAATGTACTTTCTCCTCAGTCACGGCTCTTTTAAAATTTAACCTGAGAGACTGTTTCAGACCATGATGGGAAGTGGCAGTGAGACATGCCTTGTTATACGTCTCTGACATTAACATCAGCACAGACTTTGAGTCTGATAAAAAACATTTTACAACCTATTCTCTCTGAAACCTACTACCTAAGGCTTCCTCTGTAAATAAGAATGTGGGTCTCCACAATCCTTTGTCTTAACCTAGACATTCCTTTCTGTTGATCCCAGGGTTTTAGATAAACTCAACCAATTGTCAACCAGGAAAATTTTAAATCTACCTATAAGCTGGAAGCACCCCCCAACACACACCCACAGCTTTGAGTTGTCTCACCTTCCTGGACCAAACCAATGTATTTCTTTCTTTTCCTGTTTTTTTTTTTTTGTTTGTTTGTTTTTGTTTTTGTTTTTTTGAGCAGAATCTTGCTCTGTCGCCCAGGCTGGAGTGCAGTGGCACAATCTCGGCTCATTGCAACCTCTGCCTCCCGGGTTCAATCGATTCCTGTGCCTCAGCCTACCTGGGAGCTGGGATCACAGGCGCATGCCACCATGCCCGGCGAATTTTTATATTTTTAGTAGAGACAGGGTTTTGCCATGTTGGCCAGGCTGGTCTTAAACTCCTGGCCTCAAGCAACCTGCCCACCTCAGCCTCCCAAAGTGCTGAGATTGCAGGCGTGAGGCACTGCACCTGGCCATATTTCTTAAATATACTTGATGGAATTATCATGTCTCCCTAAAATGTATAAAACTAAGCTGCACCCCGACCAGCTTGGGCACACGTTCTCAGGACATCCTGAGGGCTGTGTCACAGGCCATGTTCACTCATATTTGGCTCAGAATAAATCTCTTCAAATGTTTTACAGAGTTTGACTCTTTTCGTAGAGTCAACTGCGAACAAGACAAATTATCTCAGGTTGAGCATACTGTAGTTCATATGACAGACAACGGAATAATCAAAAAGAATTTACTAGAGGCAGCATAATAATGTTTTAATACAGGTTTCTATTTAGCACTTATGAGATTCTGTATTCAAAGATTACAAACAGAAATGTTCTCAGAGCATTGAATTAATGAATGAGGGGGCAGGGATAATCCACGAGGGTGTTGTAGTAGAAGGGAGGAAACCAGGGTGTGTTTGCCCTTCCTAAAAATCTTCAAATAATGATAATGATGATAATTAGATTTTGTGCAGAAATTTGACCTATATAACTTAAAATATATATATATATATATATATAATATGTATATATATCACTTTTCAAACATATATATCTATGTTTGGAAAGTGAATAGCTTATTTTTTTTTAAGAGGGAGTCTCCCTCTGTCACTCAGGCTGGAGTACATTGGCATGATTTTAGCTCACTGCAAACTCCATGCCCCGGCTCAAAGGATTGTCGTGCCTCAGCCTCTGAATAGCTGGGATTATAGGTGTGTGCCACTACACCCGGCTAATTTTTGTATTTTTAGTAGAGATGGGGATTTCGCCATGTTGGCCAGGCTGGTCTTGAACTTCACGCCTCAAGTAATCTGCCTGCCTCGACCTCCCAAAATGCTGGGATTACAGGCATGAGCCACCAGGCCCGGCCAGCAGTTAGCTTAAAAGTGGCACAAATTAAAAACATAATAAATGTTAGTTATTCTGTATTGTTACAATTTAGTGAAATAAGTTTTGTGATGTGAAAGAAGCAGACAAGTAGCTGAAATTCAGTTTGAGAAAATATAAATGTATTGAATAGTCAATTGACATAAAATCATCAACAAAATGTGTTGAAAGCCAATTTGCTGAATCACTGATTTGCCAAATTCACTGGTTTTGTCAAGCTTTAATAGTAATGATAAATAGCTTTACAAACATGTTTACTTTTGGTCATGAAGAAGGCAAATGCTACATTTTGAAGTAGGGAAACCAAAGGACTAAACTTGCTTTTGGACATTAAGTTAATGGAACTTTTAACATTCATTGTATCCAATGAATTCATTGTATCCAATGAATTCATTGTATCCAAAAAGTGGGGAAAAATGTCCCCAAAAGCTGGGAATTTCCTGCCCCCAACCCTGGAAAAAAAAAAAAAAAAAGAACACTTAAGGAAAACAAGATCATTTTACAGAACACTAGAATCTTACACACCTGTTGCTAATGATGTCTTTTTCATTTTAACCAGATAACCATTAAAATCAAATTGCCATGTTGATAACTTTGTTTTGGTCAAAGTGTTTTTTTTTTCCAGAGTCACTTGGAACTCTTCTGTGGCATCTGAAGCAGATGGACGAAGCCAAGAGGGCCGAGAGTATCTCAGCACCTAGAAATGGACAAGGCTGGTTATTAGAACAAAGATTTCGCAGGTGGTGAGTCTCAAAGGCGAAGCTGAATGGTAGTATAATTTTTTTTAAATTTTAATTATTAAAAAATATTTTTTGGAGGGGATAGAGTCTTGCTGTCACCCAGGCTGGAGTGCAGTGGCACTATCTCAACTCACTGCAACCTCCGACTCCCAGGTTCAAGCGATTATCATGCCTCAGCCTCCTGAGTAGCTGGGATTACAGGCATGTGCCACCATACCTGGCTAATTTTTGTATTTTTAGTAGAGACGGGGTTTTGCCATGTTGGTCAGGCCGGTCTCGAACTCCTGACCTGAAGTGATCCATCTGTCTTGGCCTCCCAAAATTCTGGGATTACAGATGTGAGCCACCACTCCTGGTCTGAATGGGAGTTTAATAGTAGTTAGGTCATGAAACTCCCTGCCAGGCATTCTAATACATTCTGACTTTGCTTTGCAGGTGATAATTGGGAGCTATGTATATATTTTTGTTTTGTTTTGTTTTGTTTTTTGATACAGAGTCTCGCTCTGTCGCCCAGGCTGGAGTGCAGTGGCAGGATCTCAGCTCACTGCAAGCTCCGCCTCCCGGGTTCACGCCATTCTCCTGCCTCAGCCTCCCAAGTAGCTAGGAATACAGGCGCCCGCCACCACGCCCGGCTAATTTTTTGTATTTTTAGCAGAGACGGGGTTTCACCGTGTTAGCCAGGATGGTCTCGATCTCCTGACCTCGTGATCCACCTGCCTCGGCCTCCCAAAGTGCTGGGATTACAGGCCTGAGCCACCTCGCCCGGCCAGGAGTTACGTATTTTTAAAAGTTCACCAGAACGTTGATTTTCAGAGACTGCATTTGTGCTATTCACAGCTGCATTGCAGGTCTCAATACATAGCACTCAGTATAAGCTGGGCCCTTACTGTTTCGCGATATTTTGAAAAAGGATTAAGGACTCAGTGGACATCCACCAAAGCCGAGCTTGATAAAGAATCTGGGCCAGGGCCGGGTGTGGTGGCTCACGCCTGTAATCCCACCACTTTGGGAGGCCGAGGTGGTTGGATCACGTGGTCAGGAGTTCGAGACTATCCTGGCTAACAGTGAAACCCCCGTCTCTATTAAAAATGCAAAAAAAAATTAGCCGGGCGTGGTGACGGGCACCTGTAGTCCCAGCTACTCAGGAGGCTGAGGCAGGAGAATTGCTTGAACCCGGGAGGTGGAGGTTGCAGTGAGCCGAGATCATGCTACTGCACTCCAGCCTGGGCAACAGAACAATACTCCGTCTCAAAAAAAAAAAAAAAAAAAAAAAAAAAAAAAAAAAAAGGAAAGAATCTCACACCTGTAAGTAACCCTGCACTTTGGGAGGCTGAGGTGGGCGGATCACCTGAGGTCAAGAGTTGGAGACCAGCCTGGCCAACATTGTGAAGCCCTGTTTCTACTAAAAATACAATTAGCCGGGCGTTGTGGCTTGCGCCTGTAATCCAAGCTACTCAGGAGGCTGAGATGGGATAATCGATTGAACCAGGGAGGCGGAGGTTGCAGTGAGCCGAGATCGCGCCACTGCACTCCAGCCTGGGCAACAGCAAGAAGAAAAAAAATCTGAAGTAGGGGAGCTTTCAAGGAAGACAAAGATTGGCTAACAATGTTCGATGACTTAGGAAAGAAGATTAACCGTATGATCGGGCAATTTAGGACCTGATTTGTTAACTTTTACCAATGATGTCTAAACAATGCAGTGAGAACAGAGAGACTGGAGTTGAGAAAAGAATGAAAAGAAAGAAAGTGAAGGTGCCTGGTAAAAATGTTTTTGGAAGCAGCTTGATGGGGGCGGACGGGGAAGGTCGCCACCTAGTGTGATTTCAAGGTTACTGAGAATAAAGCACGAGTGGGCGTGGTGGCTCAAGCCTGTAATCCCAGCGTTTGGGAGGCCAATGTGGGTGGATCACTTGAGCTCAGGAGTTCGAGACCGGCCTCGGCGAAGTTGCGTAAACCTAGTGTCTACAAAAAATACAAAAATTAGCTGGGTGTGGTGGCGCGTGCCTGTAATCCGAGCTACTCGCGAGACTGAGGCAGGAGAATTGCTTGAACCTGGGAGACGGAGCTTGCAGTGTGCCGAGATCCTGCCACTGTACTCCAGCCTGGGTGACAGAGCAAGACTCGGTCTCAAAAAATAATAAATCAACAACCACAAAGCGGGCCCGAATTACTGGGAAGACAAAAAAGCCAAAGAACTCAGCATAGGCCCAATCTAATTTTGGTTTGCTCTACTCTCTCAGTCGTTGATATTCTCCAAGACTTCCAGCTCCCAAAATATTTCTTCAACTACCCCAAAGCATCTGGCACTGCTTGAAAGGACCTGCTGGAGTCCCAGGATGAAAGGAGGTTATGTTAACCATCCTTGCGCGGAAATGAAGAAAACCACGAGTTGTTCCTCCTGCTTTTTCCTGTTTTTTTTTTCTGTTGTTGTTGTTGTTGTTGCAGAGGCGCGGTCCACCCTGGAATGAAGTGAGAAACCGAAATCATTTGGGGCTGTTTCCTTCCTGCAAGTCAGCCATTACCTTGCCCAATTCAAACTTTATTTTCACCTGCTTTAATTCCTGCTAGTTATTTTCCTCTTCTTAGAGTTTGACCTCAGGTAAATTAGCTAATCTCTCTGTGCTTCAGTAGTCATCTGTATAATAATATATATCTCCGTAAGGCACTGTAAGATTTAGGTAAGATAATGTCTGAAAACTCTGTTCTTTGGGCCGGCCATATAATGAGTCCTCATAAATTGTAGCAATTAGTTTAAGTAGAACGAAGAATATATGTATCACTCTGAATTAAGATGGATTAATATAAAACACTTGTCGAGGATGAGCTGCATTTTCCAAACCTGGAGGACAAAAAACCCTCCAAGTGTTATTACCTTATTCCACACATTTGGGAAAGTACAATGTCCTAGAGTTGTGAAAAAAGCAGAAAAGCCCACAGTTTCCTTGTCTGTAATATGGAGGTTTTGGTATCTCATAGGGTAGTTTTTAGAATAAGATGAATTAGCAAATGGTTTAATGTTTATAAAACATTAGTTTTATATCTTAGAATGTCCTTATTCAGTGTTAATCTCTGGTCACTCCTGCCTCCAATCTCAGTATTCTGTAAGCAATGATATATCAGGTGATGTGGATCTTCTGTGAGCCTGACAAGGCTTCCGTCCTCACAGAGCGTGCAGTCTATAAATGTGAAAGTGATGGCCACAGGCAGGAGGTTCAAGGTCAGACTGCCTGGGTCAGAGGCTCACTCTGTGCTCTAAACCTTTCTGTCCCCCTGTCTTCAAGTCTAAGTAGGATTAAAATAGGATGCACATTATAAGGGTGTTGTAGGGATTAAATAAGCAAATTGTTTTCACTGGGTGCTCATTGAGTGAATGGGATTTGAAAAGTTAGGTAAAGCCATCAAGAGGTGTGTCTAGGGCAAGGCTGTGCCTAGGGTGGGGCTGTGTCTGGGGCGGGGCTGTGTCTAGGGTGTGTGAGGGAGGGCGTCTCAGGGTTATGTTTGATGATTGCTGCTTCAGAGTTAATCACTTTATCATTCAGAACCTGGACTAGAGATTCATCTGAACTTCCAACGGTGAGTTTCTGTGGTGGACACCAAAGCGTGTTTCTTTTGCAGGAGGCTCCTTACCTAATGCATTAGTGTTTTGTATTAATAGGTGTTTGGGCTTTCACTTTTTTTTTTTTCTTTTGAGACAGGGTCTTACTCAGTTGCCCCGGCTGGAGTTGGGGAATCTTGGCTCACTGCAACCTCTGCCTCCTGGACTCAAAGCTATATTCTCCAGCCTCAGCCTCCCAAGTAGCTGGGACCACAGGCATGCACCACCACACCTGGCTAATTTTGGTTTTTTTGTAGAGACAGGGTTTTGCTATGTTGCCCAGGCTGGTCTCAAACTCCTGAACTCAAAGCAATCTGCTCACCTCAGCCTCACAAAGTGCTGGGATTACAGGCATGAGCCACCCTGCTAGGCCTGACTTTCACCTTTCAAAAGTTCAAGCTTGTAGGCTGGGAACAGCTGATTTCATCAGAGTAATTGTGTGTGGTTGCCGTATGGTAGAATTGGGTATAGGATTTTACTAGAGGCTCAGGTATTTAAATCTTAACCCATCATAGCATTAAGAGAGACTTTATATTTTAGAGATACATATGGATGTATTTTCGGGTGAATGACATGTCTGAGATTCACTTCAAAATAATGAGGGTGGGGTGTCAAGGAGATAAAATTGGCCAGGTATTGCTATATATTAAATTTCAGTGATAAGATCATCAGGCTAATTATACGCTTCCGTCTACTTTCCTGTATGGTTAAATGTAAACAGGGTGAATACTGAAAACAAAAACGTCCTCAAAGCAAAAGAGCTATACTGGAAGAATTGTAGAAATGGCCCTAGGCATTTTTTTCCCTTTTGTTCACAGATTTGATATTTCATGAAATTCAGAAATAATTTGGAGCTTTTCAAACCTGGGATATGGAAGAAACTGACACTCCTGTTCTCTGGGAAGGTGGGCTTGCAAAGTATGGGGATTCTGGATTTCTTTTTCTAGATGAGCCCTGGTTGAGAGAAGTCTCCGGTTAGTTCCAGCGGTGCCTTGTATCTTAATACGTTGTGTTTAATGAGTAATAACCTAAGTCAAAGGTGCCCCGATAATATACAGTGGGCCCAGAAGTCCACTGGGCTCATCACTATATTTCAGAGGCAAGAATCTGCATCAAAGAGCCCTGGAAGCAATCATGGCTCAACTGTGATGCCTTTAGAACATGAAGTCCTCCAAGAAGATGCCATAGGAATGGCCTCCATCCCAGGGCCTGGAGAGCAGCCAGAGACAAGAAGAGTAGCCCAGGAGGGCACTGGCAGTCAGTGCTACACTGTGGCCTGTCAGTCTCAGAGCCAGGATTTAATCACTGGCAGGCAGGCTCCAGAGGTCCTGCTCCTCACTGTGGGTCTATGGCCATACAAAGCAAGTTGGTTTGGTTGCTGTTTTTACTATAGGAACTGAGTGTTTATCGTAAAAAACTTATGTTTTTTACAAGTGTTACGTGTGCACATTTGCTTTTTAGAAATGTTGGGAAGTTTTTATATTGGGTCATGGCATTGGGAACAATATGCTCCTATGAACATAAGTGTACAAATTGCTGTTCAAGTCCATGCTTTCAATGATTGTGGGTATTTACCCAAAAGTGGAATTGCTGAATCATATAATAATATTTAATTTTTTGAGAAACCACCATAATGTTTTTTCTTTTTCTTTTTTTTTTTTTTTAGACAGAGTCTCACTCTGTCACCCAAGCTGGAGTGCAGTGGTGTGATCTTGGCTCACTGCAACCTCTGCCTCCCAGGTTCAAGGGATTCTCCTGCCTTGGCCTCCTGAGTAGCTGGGATTACTGGTGCACACCACCATGCCCGGCTAATTTTGTATTTTTAGTAGAGATGGGGTTTTGCCATGTTGGCCAGGCTGGTCTCGAACTCCTGACCTTAGGTGATCCATCCACCTCGGCCTCCCAAAGTGCTGGGATTACAAGCATGAGCCACCACGCCTGGCCCACCATACTGTTTTTCATGTGGCCACACCATTTTACATTTCTTCACATCCTTGACAACTCTTACTGGGTTTTTTTTTTGTTTTTGACAGTAGCCATCCTATCCTAATGGGGTGAGATGGGGGGTGAGATGATGTGTCACTGTGGATTTGATTTTTTTTTTTCATTTCCCTAATGATTATTGATGGTGAACATTTTTAATGTGCTTAATGGCCATTCATATACCTTTTTGGGAGGGATATCTGTTCAAGTCCTTTGCCCATTTTAAAATCAGGTTTTTTTTTCTTTGTTGTTGGGTTGTAGTTTCTTTTTTTTTTTTTTTTAAGATGGAGTCTCACTCTGTTGACCAGGCTGGAGTGCAGTGGTGAGATCTCGTCTCACTGCAACCTCCCCCTCCTGGGTTGACGCCATTCTCCTGCCTCAACCTCCTGAGTAGCTGGGACTACAGGTGCCTGCCACCACGTCCTGCTAATTTTTTGTATTTTTTAGTAGAGACGGGGTTTCACCGTGTTAGCCAGGATGGTCTCGATCTCCTGACCTCGTGATCCGCCCCCTTGGCCTCCCAAAGTGCTGGGATTACAGGCATCAGCCACTGCACCCGGCCCCAACTTGATTATTTTGCATGTGGATACCCAGTTTCCCACAGCCCTGTTTGTTGAAAAGAATGTCCTTTCCCCAGTGAATGGTCTTGACACCCTTGTGAATCATTTGACCATGTTTGTGAGGATTTATTTCTGAGCTCTCTAGTCTATCCCACCAGTCTATATGCCTGCCTTTGTGCTAGTACCAAACTATAATTGCAATGGTAACCTCAAGAAAATATCTACAGAATATATTTACACTTGTACATCCACTAGTACCACATTGTTTCATCATAGGTTTGTAGTAAGTTTTGGAATCAGGAGGTGTGAGACCTTCAACTCTGTTCTCCTTTTTAAAGATTGTTTTGTCTATTGTGGATACCTTGAGATTCCACATACATTTTAGGATGAAATTTCCTATTCTGCAAAACATGTCTGGGATTTTAAAAATAGGAATTGCATTAAAGATATAGATCACTTTGGGTAGTAGAGCCATCTTAACAATATTAGTTCTTCTAATCCAGGAACACAGGATAGCTTTGTATCTTAATTAAAAAAAAATTTTTTTTGAGACAGGGTCTCACTCTGTCAGCCAGGCTGGAGTGCAGTGGTGTGATCATGGCTCAATGTAGCCTTGACCTCCTGGGCTTGCTCAAATGATCCTCCCACCTCAGCCTCCCAAGCAGCTAGGTTAACAGGCATGTGCCACCAAGCCCAGCTAATTTTTAAAAATTTTTATTTTACCTCTTTTTTTTTGCCAGGGCCTTGCTCAGATGCCCAGGCTAGAGTGCAGTGGCACAATCATGACTCACTGCAGCCTTGAACTTCTATTTTTTTAGAGATGGGGTCTTGCTATGTTGCCTAAGCTGATCCTTGAACTCCTGGCCTCAAGCAGTCCTCCCATCTTAGCCTCCTGAGTCAATGGGATTACAGGCCTGAGTCACTACACTTGGCTAATCTCATTAGTAACTTTATTATTATGTACAGGTATGAGATTGGGCTCCACTTTTTAAAAATTTTATGAAATAGCCAATGATTGACCTTTTTTTTCCCCCCACTCTGGATATTACTAGTATTCTCCAATGCTTTTCTCTTTCTGTTTGTACATTTTTCAGGATCTCCCATTAACCAGTCATAATGAAGTAAGAACAAGAAGATGGGGAAGAGGAAGTGTAAAACCGTGGCTTAAATTTGCCAAGGATAAGCTGAGTGTACTTCAGCAGTCATTTGCACAGAATCCTTATCCTAATTTTACAACCAGGGAAAAACTGGCTGGACAGTCTCTTGTCCTGTGTTTGTAATTGATGTAAGTAAAATATTAAAAGCTTTGCATGGGTATGTCTTTTTATAGATAATGTGGAAAATGTAAAGAAGCATGAAAAAGTTTAATAGCATTTTATCACATAGCACAAAGTGATTTTTTTAGGCTGGGCGCAGTGGCTCATGCCTGTAATCCCAGCACTTAGGGAGGCTGAGGCGGGCAGATCACTTGAGGCCAGGAGTTCGAGACCAGCCTGGCCAACATGGCAACACCCCATCTCTACCAAAAATACAAAAATTAGCCAGGCAGGTTGGCACGTGCCTGTAGTCCCAGCTACTTGGGAGGCTGAGGCAGGAGCATTGCCTGAACCTCAGAGGCAGAGGTTGCACAGGGCCAAGATGGCACCACTACACTCCAGCCTGGGCAACAGTGAGATTCTCAAAAAAAAAAAAAAAAAAATTTGATTTTTTTTTTTTGGTTGTTGTTCATCTCAATGTGGGTGTGAATATATTATATATGCATTTTATGGAAAATAGACTATTGTGAGGCAAATTTGGGAGCAGTGTTAAGAAGCTACTGTAGGCTGGCTGCGGTGGCTCATGCCTATAATCCCAGCACCTTGGGAGGCTGCGGTGAGCGGATCACCTGAGGTCAGGAGTTCAAGACCAGCCTGGCCAACATGGTGAAACCCTGTCTCTACCAAAAATATAAAAATTAGCCGGGCATGGTGGCACGCGCCTGTAATCACAGTTACTCAGGAGGCTGAGGTAGGAGAATTTCTTAAACTCAGGAGGTGGAGGTTGCAGTGAGGCAACATCACGCCACTGCACTCCAGCCTGGACGACAGAGCGATACTCTGTTTCAAAAAAAAGAAAAAGCTATTATTGTAATTTTCCAGGATAGAGACAGTGATGGTTTTGACAAGGGTGCTGGCTGTGGAATTAGAGAACTGGGAAGACCTTTAATTTTTAAAGGTGGAGCGGCTTATAGTTTGCTGAGTTATTGGGGATGCCAGAGGTAAGGATAGCTCCAAAGTTTTGGCTTGACATGGAAGATTGGAGATGCCTTTAACTAACAGGGGAGCTTGGGAGAAGAGCACTTTTGTGTCAGACATTTGGAGTTTTACTTTGCACACGTTAAGTTTGGTGTGCCAATTAAACTTCTAAGAGTTTACTTACTCCAAGGAGTAAGTAAAAAGTTAGGCATGCAAGTCTGAAGTGCAGGAGGAAGAACTTGGCTTGATAGTGTCACGGGACTTGGCACAGAACCCCACAGCATCAGTAGTTGCTTCATAACCATTTATTGCACGAACTAATATTTTGTTTGGTGATTTTCTGATATGATCATTGTAAATTGTTAAAGCACAACATCTTATTGTATTTGAATTTATATTATTTACACATACAATATATTCTCTAATCCCCTGACAGATTATATATACACATTTAAGGAGACTTTCATATTTCTCATCTGTGATTATCCTTTGACTATTGAATATATTGGTTGCTTGACAGAAGGACAAAATTGTGTTAGTGAAAACAAAGAATATAAGCAACTTTGGAGAATAAAGGAAAAGTATAGGCAAATATTGTGTAATGAAATTTTTATAAAAGTTTCGTGAAGTAGGCCAGGCATGGTGGCTCATGCCTGTAATCCCAGCACTTTGGGAGGCCGAGGTGAGTGGATCACCTGAGGTTAGGAGTTCAAGACCAGCCTGGCCAACATGGCAAAAACCCATCTCTACAAAAATACAAAAATTAGCTGGGAGTGGTGGCAGACACCTGTAATCCCAGCTATTCAGGAGGCTGAGGCAGGAGAATCGCTTGAACCTTGGAGACAGAGGTTGCAGTGAGCTGAGATGATGCCACCGCACTCCAGCCTGGGTGACAGAGGGAGACTCCATCACAAAAAAAAAAAAAAAAAAAGCTTCATGAAGTGAGAACATTTCAAGGGAAATACAAACAAATGCTTTCCTGCAAATAAGTAGAAAATCCAAATAAAGTAAATAACCAGGATAGAAATGGAAGGACTGATCGATTTCTTTTTTTTTTTTTTTAAGTGACAGGGTCTCACTCCGTTGCCCAGGCTGGATTTCAGTGGCGCAATTGTGGTTGACTGCAGCATCGACTCCCTGGGCTTAAGTGATCCCACCTCAGCCTCCTGAGTGGCTGGGACCACAGGACATGATGCCTGGTTAATTTTTTTTTTTTTTTAATGTAGAGATGGGGTTTTGCCATATGGCCTAGCCTGGGCTCAAACTCCTGGGTTCAAGCAATCCTCCTGCCTCAGCCTCCCAAAGTGCTGGGATTACAGCATGAGCCATTGCGCCTGGGCTTGGTCAAACATTTAAATGAACGTTCTTATACTGTTCATTTATTTACATTTCTAACTTTGTGACAGTTGGGTTGCTCATGGTCAAAAGTGCTTTTTAATTATGTTTTATCCTTTCTACTTGTCAGAGGGATAGATTCCTAAAAGGAAGTTCATAGATAACGGCTAATCAAATTACACTGAATTGAACTGGCCTGCATGTGCTTAAAGAAAGTGCCCATGATGTGATCAGGAAGCAAGCATGTTTGAGGGGAGGGCCACAGGAGGCTCTGTCATGAGAGAGTGAGGTCTTGTCTTTTGGTTGGGTCCTCATGAGATCTACCTCCTAATGGCTCTATAACATCTGACTTATAGAGGTGCAAGTTGACTTATAAGGTGCAAGTTGACTCTTGCACCTTATCTTTTTGTAAAATATGTATAATTATGTTGTGATGGTGTTGTGAGAAGAAAATGAGTATATCTGGAGGTGCCAGGTTCATTGTGCATGGTCACAATTTTATTTATTTGTTTATTATTTATTTATTTTGAGATGGCGTCTCACTCTGTTGCCCAGGCTGGAGTGTAGTGGCACAATCTCAGCTCACTGCAGCTTCTGCCCCCTGCGTTCAAGGGATTCTCCTCCCTCAGCCTCCTGAGTAGCTGAGATTACAGGCATGCGCCATGATGCCCAGCTAATTTTTGTATTTTTAGTAGAGATGAGGTTTCCCCATGCTGGCTAGGCTGGTCTCGAACTCCTGATGTCAGGTGATCCACCCACCTCAGCCTCCCAAAGTGCTAGGATCACAGGGGTGAGCCACCGCGCCTGGCCCACAACTTTGTTTTAAGCAGTCATTATAGGTGTGGATCAGACATCTTTCTAGCTTTAAGCGCTATTAACCTAAAGCAATTCTGAACTTGCAGACAGAGGGGTTCCTGGAGGGATCAAATATTAAAAGGCCCCCAGACATCCTTACCTGCATGGTAGGGCTCTAGGTGCGGTACCACAACAGAGCTTATTAGGATGGAGAGTCTAAAACAGTGTTGATCATTTCTCCCTCCCCTAAACCCCTAGGGATTATGGTTGGCAGGTGTAATTATCCTCTCTTTGTGGAGGAGGGAAAAAAATGAAGACTAGAGGTGTCAAATGGAATGCTTAGAGTCACGTGTAAGATGCCTTGCCAGGTTATTACAAACTCTTGCTTGTTCCTTTTTTTTTTTTTTTTTTTAGATAAAGTCTTGCTCTGTAACCCATGCCAGAGTGCAGTGGCACAATCTCATCTCACTGCAACCTCCCCCTCCTGGGTTCAAGCAATTCTCCTCCCTCAGCCACCCAAGTAGCTAGGATTGCAGGCACACACCACTATGCCCAGCTAATTTTTGTATTTTTTTTTAGTAAAGACAGGGTTTCACCAGTTGGCCAGGCTGGTCTTGAACTCCCAACCTTGTGATCCACCTGCCTCAGCCTCCCAAAGAGCTGGGATTACAGGCATGAGCCACTGTGCCCGGCCAACTCTTGCTTGTTTTATGCATAGTCTTTGAATACAGTGAATTTAAGAGTATAATTTAGAGTATATTGAATCACAAGTTTATCCTGGTAGGTCAGCGTGAGTAAAATAAATAAGTTAGGGAAAGGCTGGAAGTCTGTTCTTTCCAAATGCGGAGGATTGCAAACAGGTTGGTAGGAGATTTTGAAAGGTCCAGGTTTGCATGTACAAAAGGGCCACTGCAACTATGAGGCAGTTGAAATTTTGGGATTGTGCACAATTTATAACCTCCATAATGTGCAGCCCCACAAAGGATTGCCTTCATTCTTTGTGTCTTATTCAAGTCAGGAAACAAGCCGGTGATCATCCTGAGACTAAACTTAACTGTAAAATTCTACATTGTGGAAATGCATTGTACAATATGTCTTAACCAACAGATTGAATTAACAAACTGTTCTTTCTCTTTAGAACTGGTTTCAAAATAAAAGCCAGACCACCACTTAGAGAGAGACACAGAATGTTCACTGCCAGGGAACTGCATGATTCCTCTGCCAAAGGCCACCCATTTACAAGAATCCAGGAAAACCAGGTGGAATCTCCCAATGATGACCCTGAGCAGAACTTCTTGTACCCAGGAAGTTCTACTGGGTGGAGCTGGCCACTCTTCCGTGGAGACACAGGGGACTCCCAATTAACATGATGGCTCAAATAACTGTAGCCTTATGGATTAAAAGGAAACTAAGCTGTGATTTGGAGTATCCAGGTGATACAGAAAATGGCCCTTGTCGATGTAGATCAGCATTATTTCCTTATCCTTCTGCATCTCCTCCTCAGTATTCTGAAAGGGACAAGCCTGAGATGGGGGAAAGCCAGCATGCAAGGCCCTCCCCTTTGTGCTGTGTTCATGGTGTGCACGGAGAGAGGCAGCAGCAGGAGGAACAGAAAGGTTATTTTCTTTACTGACTCTTTCAAGGACATCAGCAGAATGGTTGGGAATGTCATCATGAGCAGCCTCAGCCTCAGAATTACCAGGAGAAGCTGGTCTTCCAGGATCAGGTTCTAATGTATATGAGTCACAGGATTTAGGGAAGCAGGCACTTTCCCTTCAGTCCCAGCAGCATGGTTGATGTTCCCAAGTAATGGAGAGTCCCTGTGCTCTCAGTTGTGGCACACACCTTTGCAAATAGTGATCAGATCTCCACAAACGCCTCTTGGGTAAGATATGCAGCAACATAGCTGGCTGCAGAGCAACCCAGTTCCCAAATCCAGCAGCTCTTGGATGAGAAGTCTGCAAGTGTTTACTGCTGGGACCAGGACTGTGTTTCTAGGAAATGGTGCTAGGCTTCAGAGAGCATCATCCACAGGTCATCCCACAACCATCCACACAGAAGCCTGAGGAAAAGGGCTCTGCAGAGCTTGCACATAAAGATGCTGAACTCAGGAAGGCTCTGTGAGCTGCTGGTCTCTTCTGGTAGGGCAGCAGTGTCCTGAGAAGGTGGAGCTAGAGTATGGAGAACAAAACTAACAAGCACCAAGGCAGCAAGCAAGGCAACCCCCAAATGACAGCAGTTGCCAAATCCAAAGCAATCTGTGCTTCAGAAGACAGAGGCTCTGCACAGTCCCTGTCTCAGACATTGTCTCCTCCTTAGAAGATACCTAACAACAGCACTGTGGGAGGCTGAGGTGGGTGGATCACCAGGTCAGGAGATCAAGACCATCCTTGATCTTTAGTAGAGACGGTGAAACACTGTCTCTACTAAAAAATACAAAAAAAAATTAGCTAGCCGTGGCGGCGGGCACCTGTAGTCTCAACTATTTGGGAGGCTGAGGCAGGAGAATGGCCTGAACCCGGGAGGCAGAGCTTGCAGTGAGCTGAGATTGCGCCACTGCACTCCAGCCTGGGCAACAGAGTGAGACTCCATCTCAAAAAAAAAAAAAAAAAAAAAAAAAAAAGATACCTAACAAGCAGTACAAGAATATGAAGGACCCCACTGCCCAGACTTTGTATGGAGGGGTGTCTAAGGTGGCTACAGCAAAGCTGTCATCTCCATCGACCGGGACAGCATCTCCAGCCATGATGTGTGGCCTGCTGGAACAGCAGCCATGTGTCCTTTCACAGACAGCCCACCAAAGCTCTGACTGTGAAGGACATCCCAACATCAGCCTAGCCTGCATACACTTAAGGCATAGAATCACCTGAGGCTTCTCCGTTGAAGACAGGGACTCCCGATGGAGTTGCAGCCCCAGCTTTGCACTGTAAAGAGCCCCAGGGGGCTTCTGTGCTAGAGCAGGTGTGCAGACCCCTCCTCACCCCCTTCACTGAGAGCTGCTGCCTGGAACCAGTGTTTTGACTGAGTCACCTCTGGACGTGGGCCCACAAGATCTGAGAGTGCCCAGACGAGAAGTTGAATGCCTTGTGTTGACCTGAGTGTTTGGAAAAAAGCCCCAAACTTTGAAACAATTTTCATAATTTTGAGCTTCAGGATGTGGAATCACTTCTCAAGTATTCTGGAGTTCTGTCCATCAGAGCGGGTCCTGCCAATGCTGCCCTGTGCAGCGCTTCAGGCTGCATCCCTCCCACTAGGGGGCGCCTTTCACATAGTGGCGCCTGCCTTCTAGAGGAGCAACATTTCCTGAACTGCAGGGTTCCCTCGGGGCTTTGTGTAAAACACATCCACTGCATAGAATTTGTGTTATTTCCATTTTGTTTTCTTGACAATATTTAATTAATTACAAAATGATGTATGTTATGATAGTTTAAGCAATACAGAGAGTAACCAAACAAAAGCTTGGTCTTTTATTCTCGCACTCTGAATTTACAGTCCTGAAAACTCTAAACTCATCATATAATCTATATTGTAAAGACTTTGATAATCCCTTCCCTTGCCTTTCCTTTCCCCATTCCCCCTTCCCCTTCCTTCTTCTACATTGTATGATGTTTTTCATATTTACATTCTAACCAATTGTGTCATGTGATACTAATTTGCAGAATAAAGCATGTTTTGCACATATTTCCAAGTCATATAACATGCAGACATACTTCATTTTGTAAATATCTTCCTTCTCTTACTATAAGATTGAGAATAGGTAAAGAGCAACTCTCCAATGCAGGTGATGAGTGTGATTTGCACTATCACTTTGGACAGCCAATTGGAATATTTATTGAAGTCATAGATGCCCAGCAATTCTGTTACTGGATGTGTCTCATAGACAAACTCTTGGACATTCTTATAGAACACTGAGCCCAAAGAAGACACATCATATAATGTAAGAAGCTAGGACAGCTTAAAAAAAAAAGGCCTAGATCTGTGTAATTGTGTGAGTGTTCTCGGACATACTGTTTGTAAAAAATCGAGTTATTGAGTAGTTTGATAATATGATAATCATGAAAATAAAGGATAAAGCAGCGAGTAATTATTATTCTTCGATATATACCTGCATTCACACATGGAAAAGATACAAAAAAATGAATGGGGTTTACATTCACTAAATTACTAAAGTTACATTTGGATAAGGAAGAAAAATGTTTTTTTCTTTAAAGTTATGAAACATACCTTGTAAAATCAAAGGCACAGCACTTTGATTCAATGAATAAAAGAGATACCACAGATTTGTCCCTCACCAGTGAGGGGTGAGGTATTCCAACCCTGCAAGCAGATGTACATGTTGAAACTATCTTCAAGAAAACAGAACCAGGGCTGGGCGTGGTGGCTCATGCCTGTAATCCTAGCACTTTGGGAGGCCAAGGTGGGTGGATCATGAAGCCAGGAGTTCGAGACCAGCCTAGCCAATATGCTGAAACCCCGTCTCTACTAAAAATACAAAAATTAGCCGGGTGTGGTGGCACGCGCCTGTAGTCCCAGCTACTCAGGAGGCCTAGGCAGGAGAATTGCTTGAACACGGGAGGCGGAGGTTGCAGTGAGCCGAGTGCACTGCACTCCAGCCTGGGCGACAGAGCGAAACTCCATCTCAAAAAGTAAATAAATAAATAATAACAATAAAATAAAAATAAATAAACTACATTTCTCTCAAAGTCAGCAGCTTGATCTATGTCCAGGAATGACCGAGCATAGCTTGGAGGTTAGAAACAAGATGGAGTCAATTTTGTCAGACTCAAATTACTGTCATAATTTTGCAAAGGTGGTTTCAGAAGGTGACCCTGTCTTTGGAGCCAAGAATGGGGAGTTAGTGCCTAGAGGCAGAATTGAGATTGGCTTGTCATTACTTGAGATTGTATTTTAGGCTCTAGAGAGAAAGGTCTGAGCCTGGTTCTGGTGGGAATGTTGGGCCTCATTCCCCGGCAGGGGCAATTGGAACTTTGAGCAAGCTGGGAGTGTGAAATGAAGCTCTAAAGACGTCCAGAGGAGATGGACGTCTTCTGGCTGAAAGAGACACTCAGATGAAGATGATGGGAGCCAAGGGGCCATGGTGGGGTGAGAGAAGAGCAGTCATGCATTCCTCTTCCCAGGAGAGGGCAGATCTAGACAAACATCCTGTTTGCACCTCTGAGCTAAGATGGCTTCTGAAACCAGAGCCGAGACACGTGGCTGGAAATCTCCTGCCAGCTGCCTGAAAGGGGCACCCTACAGAGACCACTGGCTTTGGGCTTAGAAACTACCCAACTGAGACACAGTTATTTTCAACCAGTGAGGTCTGAACCAGTTTCAATCCTCATTTGCATGTACAGACCATATTGACGTCTAGCGCAGGACCTTTCCCTATTTAAGCCAGGACCTCTTTTTGTTCTTTGGAGCTCAATTTTTGTCTTACACTGGAGCCTGTGTCTCCCCGATCCGTAGATTTTGCATTTATTTATTGTTATAGACAATAAAGCCTTTAGGCCGGGCGCAGTAGGTCATGCCTGTAATCCCAGCACTTTGGAAGGTTGAGGTGGGCAGATCACTTGAGCTCAGGAATTCGAGACCAGTCTGGACAACATAGTGAAATCCCATCTGTACAAAAAATACAAAAATTAGCGTGGTGCAGTGGTCTGAGCCTATAATCTCAGCTGCTCAGGAGGCCAAGGCTGGAGAATTGCTTGTGCCCAGGAAGCAGAGGTTGCAGTGAACCAAGAACGTGCCACTGCACTCCAGCCTGGGTAACAGTGTGAGACCTGGTCTCAAAAAAAAAAAAAAAAAGATTTTTTTCTTTTTCTTTCACACACCTCATGGTCTCTTGCTAACAGGAGCTGATAATTTGTGTTTGGTTGCAAACAAAGGACTTTGTACCCCACACAGAGTCTCCAGGGCTCACAGTGTAGTCCCTCCACTCTCCAACCAGCTCCAGCTGGAAGCCAAGGTTGGAGAGAAGTAGAAGGGTGGCAGGTGGCAGTCCAGGTGCAGTGGGGAGCCTGCTGTGGGGATATGGATAGTTTGGATAGTCCCTGGTCATCTCATGGTGTCTCCTTAAAGGAACTAACCTGTCCCTCTGCAGCCTCCCCTGTCCAGGTGAAGTCCAGGTATGGAGAGCTTTCAGGTAAATAAAGTATTCACTCTCTTGAAAAGTGGGTTATAGTTCTTAGCTCAGACATGATGTGGCCAAAAGAAATTCCTATAGGAAATTTCACTGGTGTTTCTATCAACTTACAGTTCTCCATCTGGATCTTAGATCTTCTGTCACTTCATGCCCTTGGTAGCCCATCATAATAGTTGAAATGTCAGCTGTAGATGTGTTGATATCCTCAAGAATAGGAGAAGCCACTTTGGGAGGCTGAGGTGGGCAGATCATTTGAGGTCAGGAGTATGAGACCAGCCTGACCAAGACGGTGAAGCCCCGTCTCTAATAAAAATATCAAAAAATTAGCCAGGCAAGGTGGCCTGTGCCTGTAATCCCAGGAACTTGGGAGGCTGAGGCAGGAGAATCTCTTGAACCTGGGAAGTGGAGGTTGCAGTGAGCCGAGGTCATGCCACTGCACTTCAGCCTGGGCAACAGAGCAAGACTCTGTCTCAAAAAAAAAAAAAAAAAAAGAAAAAAAAGAATAGGAGAAGCTGATTCTGATGGAGGAGTATCTGCCTATTTGCATGCCCATTCTATAATTTTTTAAAAAGTCAAGTTGAGTTTTATAAATACCTAGACTGATAGGTGGAAGAAAAATAAACAATCATGGTTTCCACAAAAGTTTATTTCTTTGTGCTTTCTATCCCATAATCAAAATCTAATTGCAAAATCAAATACTTTATTCACTGAAAAGATTAAGTAAAATTGAGGAATTCTTATGGAAGTGTAATTGAAAAAAATGGTCCTATGATTTGTTTGTCCTCTCTGAAATTCCTGCTGAAACGTAATCTGTGAAGTAACAGGATTAAAACTTGGGTCCTTTAAGAGATAATTATATCATGAAGTCTCTGCTTTCTTGAATGGATTAATGCATTCCTGAGTGAGTGGGTTAATGGTTCAGTAGCAATAATGGTGTGTGAATTATCATGAGAGAGGGTCTGTTATAAAAGCCTGTTCGGCTCTGTCTCCTGCGACTTCCCTCCATGTGATGCTGTCCACCATGTTATGATGCAGGATGAGGCCCTTGCCAGAAGCCAACCAGCTGCGGCCCAGGGACTGTGGACTTCCCAGCCTCCAGCACTGTAAGAAATAAATTTCATTACATGGATGTATTACATGATGAAAAAAAAAAAAGATCAGGCCCAGTAACTCATGCCTGTAATCACTGCAGCCCTGACTCTCAGCCTCAAGTGATCTTCTCACTCCAGCCTCCTGAGTAGCTGGGACTATAAGTGCGCACCACCACACCAGCTAGTTGTTTTATTTTTTGTAGAGACAGGGTCTTGCTGTATTGCCAGGGCTGGTCTCAAACTCCTGGGCTCAAGTGATCCTCCTGCCTCGACCTCCCAAAGTGCTGGGATTATAGGTATGAGGCACCATGCCCCACCAGATAAACTTTAAGTAGTGATTTGGCATATACTAGGGACATTCCCTTGATTCTAAAAGGACATCTGAACCCATTGGGAAACATCTTTCTTTCATCTGGATCATCGTGTTTCTTCTCTGAAGAACAGCTGGTGCTTTGGTCTCTACCCTTGGGTGTAGGCCTAGTGATGTAAAGTAACCTTGAGATATCTCTTTTTCTTGGTTTTATGTTGTGTTCTTGTCGTTGTTTTATTTATTTTTATTTTTTCTTTTCTTTATTTCTTTTAATAATAGAAATGTGTTCAGATAGAAATTCACAGTTACTGCTTTAAGAATACCAGCCCTGTCAGTGCCAGTGGGAAATCTGGTTCTGTTTTCTCTTCTCTTTTTTTTCTGAGATGGAGTCTCGCTCTGTCTCCAAGGCTGGAGTGCAGTGGCAGGATTTCAGCTCACTGCAACCTCCAGCTCCCGGGTTCAAGCGATTCTCCTGCCTCAGCCTCTGGAGTAGCTGGGATTATAGGCACCCACCACCACGCCCAGCTAATTTTTGTATTTTTATTAGAGATGGGGTTTCACCATGCTGGCCAGGCTGGTATGGAACTCCTGACCTCAGATGATTTACCTGCCTCAGCCTCCCAAAGTGCTGGCATTACAGGCATGGGCCACCACGCCCAGTCCTGGTTCTGTGGTTCTGTTTTCTTGAAGATAGTTTCAACATCTCCATCTGCTTGCAGGGTTGGAATATCTCACGCCTCACTGGCGAGGGACAAATCTGTGATGTCCCTCTTACTCATTGAAACAAAGTGCTGTTCCTTACAATGGCCCTGAGACGATTGATTGATCTTCACTTTTGATTGAAAAGTACTTTAGGACATGGAAAAGTAAATCCAAAGAGGCTTTTCTTTTACCTTTTGTGCTTTTCTCTAAAAGTACAAATAATCTACCACTACTCAAGGATGAAGAAATATTTGGGTCACTCTACCTTTTCTTCCACATGTAGAAAACATTGGGACTTTATTTCTTTATATATATACATATACATATACATATACATATACATATACATATACATATATATATATATATATATATATATATATATATTTTTTTTTTTTTTTCCTGAGATGGGGTCTCGCTCTGTCTCCCAGGCTGGAGTGCAGTGGCAAGATTTTGGCTGACTGCAAAGTCCACCTCCGGCATTCAAGCGATTCTCTTGCCTCAGCCTCCCGAGTAGATGGGATTGCATATATAAAATATTTATATTATATATTTTATATATATATGTAGAACCCCTAGGTTAAAGCAATCTGCTGCCTTGGCCTCCTAAAATCTTGCCATCACAGGCTGAGCTACTGCGCCCAGCCTGCGTCTTTATTTAGTTCAATTGTGTTTCCCTCTGTTTCTGTACATCACGTGACCACCTGAGCAAACATCTCCCCATGATCTTCGATGTGATAATGAATCTTGTTTTATTGGTGTACCTCTTTAGGCTTTGAGCCTGAGAGAATGACAAGCGTCCTTGAATATTTCATTTAGAAATTAAATTTTGTGCTCTTCCAATCTTCCAGAAATTTTACTTCTGTTGAAAAAAAGGCCATAAGATGCAATTATAACAAATGTATTTCTGGGAATGTAGAGAAATACTTTTAAAAGACTCAGTTCTAGATCCGGCACCTCATTGAAGACTTCGTTGCCTGACCGCTTTCTAGGAGACTGGAGTCGAAGGCCGTGAGTCAGCCATGATGGCAGCTGAAGAAATTAATGACTCTCCAGTAGAAATTCACGATTATTTGTCAGCATTTGCGAATTCCATTGATGCTGTGGATGAGATGCTGAAGAACATGATGTCTGTTTCTAGAAATGAGTTGTTGCAGAAGTTGGACCCACTTGAACAAGCAAAAGTGGATTTGGTTTCTGCATACACATTAAATTCAATGTTTTGAGTTTATTTGGCAACCCAAGGAGTGAATCCTAAGGAACATCCAGTAAAGCAGGAATTGGAAAGAATCAGAGTATATATGAACAGAGTCAAGGAATTAACAGACAAGAAAAAGGCTGGCAAGCTGGACAGAGGTGCAGCTTCAAGATTTGTAAGAAATGCCCTCTGGGAACCAAAACCGAAAAATGCATCCAAAGTTGCCCATAAAGGAAAAAGTAAAAGTTAACTTTTTGATATTGATGTACACATATTCAAAAAGTACATCTCTTTTTTTCCCACAAAATAATTCTGTGGCAGTGCAAGGTTTAAAACTATTCCTTGTTGAATTAATATGTAAATTTACAGTAAATTTGTAAAGCTCAATACTTTCCTCTCCAAAGGTTGTTATCTTTATTGATTTGCACTATGAGGATTTTAACATTGTGATATATTTTATATTTACAATTTACCATCTCTTTTGAAGAGACTCTTATTTCTTTATATAGGTCAGTCTTGCAAGTACCATTTTCTTAGCAACTGTGAAATTTAAGTGAAATATTCTTTGTAAATATTTGTACTATTTTCAATGAAATAACACACTTATACCATCCACAGACACATATAAAATACTCAATAAAGGCCATTTAATGTAGCTGATTGGATGTAGCTCCAGATACAATTAGTCACTTCCCCAATTCACTGTCTATTTCTTCTTTCTCTTAATTATTTTGAGCTTATCAGTTGTAGCAAAAGCACACATTATTTTTCCTCTGTAGTAGTGTAGACAACTGAAATGATCTCTTGGTAGAAGTTTTAATCCAGTGATTGCTTTATTTTATTTTATTTTTTATTTTAGATTTGAAGTTTCATGTGCAGGTTAGTTACATGGATATATTTGCACATACTGCAAATCAATTGTCCTGAGGTTTGGGCTTTTATTGATCCTGTCACTCAAAAAGTGAACCTAGTATTCTATAGATAGTTTTTCAACCCTTCCCGCCTCCCTTCCTCCTCCTCTTTTGGAGTACCCAGTGTCTTTTGTTCTCATCTTTATGTCTGTGTGTACCCAGGGTTTAACTCCAAGTTACAAGGGAAAACATGCAATACTAGGTTTTCTGTTTCTGCATTAATTTTCTTAGAATAATAGTTTCTAGCTGCATCCATGTTGCTGCAAAGTCTGTGTTTTCATTCTTTTTATGGCTGTGTAGTATTCCATGGTGTGTATGTACCACATTTTCTTTATCCAGTACACCACTGATGGGCACCTAGGTTGGTTTCATGTCTTTACTCTTGTGAATAGTGCTGTGATAAGCATACAAATGCAGGTGTCTTTTTGGTGGAATGATTTATTTTCCTTTAGGCATCTATCTAGTAGTGGGAATTCTGGGTTGAATGGTGATTCTATTTTTAGTTTTCTTGTTTGTTTGTTTGCTTACAACCGAGTTTCACTCTTGTCGTCCATGCTGGAGTGCAATGGCGTGATCTTGGCTCACTGCAACCTCCGCCTCCTGGGTTCAAGCAGTTCTCCTGCCTCAGCCATTGGAGTAGCTGGGATTACAGGCATGCACCACCATGCCCAGCTAATTTTGTATTTTTAGTAGAGTTGGGATTTCTCCATGTTGGTCAGCCTGATCTCAAACTCCTGACCTCAGGTGATCTGCCTGCCTCTCCCTACCAAAGTGCTTGCATTGCAGGGGTGAGCCACCACGCCCAGTTGGAGCAGCCTCTTTCATCACATGTATAATGGGTCCCAAGTGGAAGTGCCCCTGCCTCATCTGCAACAGTGCACTGGGGAGGGGAGATAAGAGGCAAGAGATGACGCCCTCTCCATGTCCAATCCCAGGCTCTTATGGTGACCCCTTCAATGACTAGTGCTGCAACCATGTTTCTTTTGTTCCAAAGGGGGCTTTGGTGGGCTGCACTCCCCCAACCTTGAGTGGACTGTTCTGAGGATTATGACACCAAAGGATCCGCAACTCCCCAGTGACCTCTTTCTGGTCCCCTGTGCTTGCTGGAGTCAAGTGGGTTGTGGGGTATGTCTGTGGGCACTTAGGCAATGCAGTGGCACCAGTGGTGTACAACTGTTATGGTACCTGTGACCTGGGGTTTTCAGCCCTGCAAGGGACTGTGAGGCCTGCCCAGCTCATGCTCTCCTGACCTGGTGAGTCTCCCTCTGGCATTCGCAGTGGCAGCAGGCCCAACTGGCTAGGCTTGTTCTCAGCTGTCTGCATCCAGGTTGCTGAGCTGTTCCAGGCATTCTCAGCTATGAGACCCCATTGGGGAGAAGCCTTGGCTATCAGGTCATTCCCTTCCCGGTCCAGTCTTGCAAAGGGAGGGGCACCCAGCTCCCATGCTGGCACATGGACCCACATAGCACTCTTCTCTGTGCAGTGCAGTGGAGGTGTGCTGTGGGTATCCTTCTGTGAGACTGGCCAGGTGGGCAGTCTTGGGAGGGACTGGGAGGTAGTGGGAGTGAGGTGGTAGGGGGAGTGTGGTCCAGATGCACCTCGGTCCCACACTCAGTGCAAGACGAAGCGTCTTCGGAAATCAGCGTTTATGGTTGTGTTTTGCTACCACGGCACAGCTCAGTGAAGCCTTCTGTGCTTTGCTCAGGTTCAAGCTGTGCCTCTGCTTGTTCTCCAGGCGGCTCTCCCTGGAAGTCAAAATGTCTATGGGGATCGTGGGAACTCCTGTAGCTAGGATCACAGGGGTCCATGGAGGGAATGTGATGTCTGAAGTTCCTTCATCACCACCTCCTTAGATCTGGTCCAGGTCCGGGGACTGGTCCTGGCACCTGGAAACTCTGAGTAGGCTGTGAGCTTCCTCCCTCTAAAACCATGGTGTATGTCTGGCCTTTCCATTGACCCTCAGTGTTTTCTGAAGAGATGTTTGAAATGTGAAGTCTTACTCAATACTTTGTTTCCTCGTCATGGACGAAGTACCCTCCAGTGGCTTGTAGTTGTCCACATTGCACCTTTTTGCTTTAAAGCAATGGTGTGATGGCCATAACCCAGGTTTGAGTATATACACAGTTGTTGTTGTTAGGATGTGGGCCTCTATGTTTTTATTTCCTTATTTAAAATGAGAAAAAACATCTGTAGGTCTTACCTTACAGTGATGTATTCTTTTTGTTCCATTTCCTTCACCCTCTTAAGCAAAATGTTTCTTTCTGAACTCATTTCTTTCTTCATATACCCTATGTATAATATGTACCCCATGTACAGTACCAGCTAAGAGCGGGTGAGTCATGATAGTGATATTCTGCTTTCATTATTTTCCTCACTTCTGCCTTCCAGGTATTCACAACTGACACAGATTTACCAAAAATTTATAGTGCCATAAGATGGGTTGCCATCTTTCTTTCTTTTTTTTTTTCTTTTTTTGGTGAGGGAGTCTCTGTTGTCCAGCCTGGAGTGCAGTGGTGCTACCTCGGCCTACTGCAACCTCCACCTCCCAGGTTCAAGCGATTCTCTGCCTCAGCCTCCTGAGTAGTTGGAACTACAGGCATGTGCCACCATGCTGGGCTAATTTTTGCATCTTTAGTCAAGATGGGGTTTCGTAATGTTGGCTAGGCTGGTCTCAAACTCCTGACCTTAAGTGATCCACCCACCTCGGCTTCCCAAACTGTTGGAATTTCAGTCATGAGCCACCGTGCCCAGCCCATCTGCCATCTTTCTAGGATTCAAAAAGGTTTTGTATCACCCATGGCTTATCTCCAGAGACAAATCTACTCATACAAGTTTTCCTATTATGTCATTTTACCAAAATAAACAATGGGATGATTGTATTCATCAGAGTATCAACCAAGAAAGAGAACTAGTATATATTTAGAGATTTGTTGCAAGGAACTGGCTTATGTGATTGTGGAGGATCACTTGAGAAAGTCCAAAGTCCATAGGAAAGGTTGGACAAGAACTGCTGCCATTGTTCATAGGCAGAATTTTTTTATGGAAGACTCACTTCTGCTTTGAAGGCCTTTTTTCCAACTGATTAATTCAATAATCAGGACCACTTATTGAAAGTCAAGTGGGCCAGGCGAGGTGGCTCACAGCTGCAATCCCAGCACTTTGGGAGGCTGAGGCAGGCACATCACCTGAGGTCAGGAGTTCGAGAGCGGCCTGGCAAACATGGCAAAACCCCGTCTCTACTAAAAATATGAAAATTAGCCAGGCGTGATGACACGTGCCTGTAATTCCAGCTACTCAGAAGGCTGAGGAAGGAAAATCCCTTGAATCTGGGAGACGGAGGTTGCAGGGAGCCGAGATCATGCCACTGCACTCCAGCCTGGGCAACATAGTGAGACTGTCAAAAAAAAAAAAATAAAAAGCCATCTCCTTTAGGATGCTAAGGAACATGACAAAACCAATGAATCCATGAGTATGGGCCCATTGCTATAACTCACTTGCTTGGAAGTGAGTTCCTTGGTTGGAAGCAATGTTGTATGGAGTACCATGACAGCAGATAAGATATTCTGTCAGTTTACAGATAATTCTTTTGGCTGAAGGATTGAGTGCAGGGAAGGCAAAAGCATACCCAGTGTGTCTATTCCAGTAAGAACAAACTTCATTCCTTCTACAATGGTAGTGGTCTAATGTAATTATTTTTCCTCTAGATATAGCTTATCACCCTGGGTGATGGTGCCATACTGGGGACTCAGTGTTAGCCTCTGATGCTTTCTGTAGGTATGATTAGGAGTGTCCAATGGTGATAAATTGCTACATTTAGTCAGGAACCCAGTGCCCTCTCTATTACTGGAACTGGTCATTAGTGCTTTTAAAGTTTGTTTTTGTTTGTTTGTTTTTGGAGATGGAGTCTTGCTGTCACATAGGCTGGCATCCAGTGGCACGATCTTGGCTCACTGCAACCTCTGCCTCCGGGCTCAAGCAATTCTCCTGCCTCAGCCTCCTGAGTAGCTGGGATTACAGGTGCCTGCCACCATGCCTGGCTAATTTTTGTGTTTTTAGTAGAGACGGGAGTTTCACCATGTTGGTCAGGCTGGTCTTGAACTCCTGACCTCGTGATTCACTCACCTTGGCCTCCCAAAGTGTTGGGATTACAGTCCTGAGCCACCGTGCCTGGCCAGTGCCCTTAAAGTTTATTTGATTAGAGAATCAATTTTAGAAACCCAGAATCAATTCAGAAAACTCATCTATAACATTCTTTGTTATACAGCCACTAACAGGACCAATATCTGTGTCAGTCAAAATTCGACCAGAGAAACAGAACCAGTTTTCAAGGAAATTGACTTACACAATTGTGGGGACTGACTAGGCAGGAAAGAAATTTGTAGGGAAAGGTAAGCTGACACTCTCAGGCAGGAGCTAAAGTTGCTCTCCAGTCCCACCCGCATTACAGTGAATAATCTGTTTTGGGTAAAGCCAATTGATTTTATATATTAATCACACATGCAAAATGCATTTATAGCAACACTTGCATTCATGTTTGATGGATGAACTGCAGAGCTTAGACTAACTAACTTGACATATGGCCAGACCACCACATTGATGATGGGATAAAATACTTTTCAGGAAAAGCTGCGGAGAATGTGAAACGTATAAAGTAAGGCGAGACTCTCCATTTGTGAAATAACATGGCCAAGCCAAAATAATTAAGAAATAAAAGAACCTGAACTCAGAGAAGAAAATGCTTAAATATGTGGAAACTAGAGAGCAGAAAACCAAAGTCATATTTGGAAAAGTATCATGATAGACGAAAAATTACGTAGTAGAATCTGTACTTCTACTTAAAATTCATCTTACCCTTAATCTAATTACTTCAAAATCCTTTTAAGTGGTGTTAAATATTTAATGAAGGGATTCAGTAGAAAGGTATTTAAGAAATGGGTGTGGCCAGGCTCAGTGGCTCATGCCTGTAATCCCAGCACTTTGGGTCCGGAGGGGGGCGGGTCACCTGATGTCAGCAGTTTGAGAGATGGGTGGGCCACCCTGCGTTTTTTTGTATCTTGTGTCCCTGGCAGTTGTTCTGTGAAGTCACTAGACTCTGGAATCCAGGCCTCCCTTCCCAGTATGGATTTGGCCAAAAGTTCAAATGGTAAGTTCCTATCAGCCTGCTGGCTGTTCTCTGTGTTGATGCTAAAGGGCTTGTTTTCTAGAGTTTATGATAGTTTAAGTCACAGCTGGAGGCAGTGGCTCGAGCCTGTAATCTCATCACTTCGGGAGGCTGAGGTGGGAGAATCACCTGAGGTCAGGAGTTCCAGACCTGGCTGACCAACATGGTGAAACCCTGTTTCTACTAAAAATACAAAAATTAGCTGGGTGTGGTGACAGAAACCAGTCATCCCAGTTACTTTGGAGGCTGAGGCAGGAGAATTGCTTGAATCTGGGGAGCAGAGGTTTCAGTGAGCCGAGATCGTGCCACTGCACTCCAGCCTGGGCAACATAGCAAGACTCTGTCTCAGAAAAAAAAAAAAAAAGAATAGGAGAAGCTGAGTCTCATGGGGAAAAATCTGCCTATTTGCATGTCATGTACATTCTATAATTTTTTAAAAAGTCAAGTTGAGTTTTAGGAATACCTAGACTGATAGGTGGAAGAAAAAGAAACAATTATAGTTTCCACCAAAGTTTATTTATTTGTGCATTCTATCCCATAATCAAAATCTAATTGCAAAATCAAATACTTTATTCACTGAAAAGATTAAGTAAAATCGTGAAATTCTTATTGAGGTGTATTTGACTAAAATGGTGCTATGATTTGTTTGTCCTCTCTGAAATTCATGCTGAAACTTAGTCTGCAAAGTAACAGGATTAAGAGGTGGGTCCTTTAAGAGATAATTGGATCATGAGGTCCCTGCCTTCATGAATGGGTGAATCCATTCCTGAGTGAGTGGGTTAATGGGTGAGTAGGAATAATGGGGAGTGAATTATCATGAGAGAGGGTCTGTTATAAAAGCCTGTTCGGCTCTGTCTCCTGCGAACTTCCCTCCATGTGATGCTGTCCACCATGTTATGATGCAGGATGAGGCCCTTGCCAGAAGCCAACCAGCTGTAGCCCGTGGACTGTGGACTTCCCAGACTCCAGCACTGTAAGAAATAAATTTCATTACATGGACGTATTACATGATGAAAAAAAAAAAAAAAAAAAGGCGGGCGCGGTGGCTCATGCCTGTAATCACTGCAGCCCTGACTCTCAGCCTCAAGTGATCTTCTCACTCCAGCCTCCTGAGTAGCTGGGACTACAGGTCGCACCACCACACCAGCTAGTCGTTTTATTTTTTGTAGAGATGGGGTCTTGCTGTGTTGCCAGGGCTGGCCTCAAACTCCTGGGCTCAAGTGATCCTCATGCCTCGACCTCCCAAAGTGCTGGGATTATGGGTATGAGGCACCATGCCCCACCAGATAAACTTTAAGTAGTGATTTGGCATATACTAGGGACATTCCCTTGATTCTAAAAGGACATCTGAACCCATTGGGAAACATCTTTCTTTCATCTGGATCATCGTGTTTCTTCTCTGAAGAACAGCTGGTGCTTTGGTCTCTACCCTTGGGTGTAGGCCTAGTGATGTAAAGTAATCTTCAGACATCTCTTTTTCTTGGTTTTATGTTTTGTTCTTGTTGTTTTATTTATTTTTATTTTTTCTTTTTTTTCTTTTAATAATGGAAATGTGTCCAGATGCAAATTCAAAGTTACTGCCTTAAGAATACCAGCCCTGTCAGTGCCAGTGGGAAATCTGGTTCTGTTTTTTTTTTTCTGAGATGGAGTCTCCCTCTGTTTCCCAGGCTACAGTGCAGTGGCAAGATTTCGGCTCACTGAAAACTCTACCTCTTGAGTTCAAGCGATTCTCCTGCCTCAGCCTCCCACGTAGCCGGGATTACATATTTTTAATATATATATACATATTATATATATATTTATATTACATATATTTATATTTATAATATATTATATATAAATATATATTTATATATAATGTATATAAATATATGTTTATATTTATAAAATATATATTTATATTATGTATATATATTTTATATATATATATATATATATATATGTAGAACTCCTAGGTTCAAGCAGTGTGCTGCCTTGGCCTCCTAAAGTCTTGGGATCACAGGCTGAGCTACTGCGTCCAGCCTACGTCTTTCTTTATTTAGTTCAATTGTGTCTCCCTCTGTTTCTGCACATCACGTGACCACCTGAGCAAACATCTCCCCATGATCTTCGATGGGATAGTGAATCTTGTTTTATTGGTGTACCTCTTTAGGCTTTGAACCTGAGAGAATGACAAGCGTCTTAGAATATTTCATTTAGAAAATAAATTTTGTGCTCTTCCAATGTTCCAGGAAGTTTACTTCTGTTGAAAAAAGGGCCATAAGATGCAATTATAATAAATGTATTTCTGGGAATGTAGAGAAATACTTTTATAAGACTCTGTTCTAGATCTGGCACGTCATTGATGTCATCATTGCCCAACTGCTTTCTAGGACACTGGAGTCGAAGGCCGTGAGTCAGCCATGATGGCAGCTGAAGAAATTAATGAGGACTATCCAGTAGAAATTCACGATTATTTGTCAGCATTTGCGAATTCCATTGATGCTGTGGATGAGATGCTGAAGAACATGATGTCTGTTTCTAGAAATGAGTTGTTGCAGAAGTTGGACCCACTTGAACAAGCAAAAGTGGATTTGGTTTCTGCATACACATTAAATTCAATGTTTTGGGTTTATTTGGCAACTCAAGGAGTGAATCCTAAGGAACATCCAGTAAAGCAGGAATTGGAAAGAATCAGAGTATATATGAACAGAGTCAAGGAAATAACAGACAAGAAAAAGGCTGGCAAGCTGGACAGAGGTGCAGCTTCAAGATTTGTAAGAAATGCCCTCTGGGAACCAAAACCGAAAAATACATCCAAAGTTGCCCATAAAGGAAAAAGTAAAAGTTAACTTTTTGGATTTGATGTACACATATTCAAAAAGTACATCTCTTTTTTTCCCACAAAGTAATTCTGTGACAGAGCAAGGTTTAAATGTATTCCTTGTTGAATTAATATGTAAATTTACAGTAAATTTGTAAAGCTCAATACTTTCCTCTCCAAAGGTTGTTATCTTTATTGATTTGCACTATGAGGATTTTAACATTGTGATATATTTTATATTTACAATTTACCATCTCTTTTGAAGAGACTCTTATTTCTTTATGTAGGTCAGTCTTGCAGGTAGCATTTTCTTAGGAACTGTGAAATTTAAGTGAAATGTTCTTTGAAAATATTTGTACTATTTTCAATGAAATAACACACTTATGCCATCCACAGACACATATAAAATACTCAATAAAGGCCATTTAATGTAGCTGATTGGATGCAGTTCCAGATACAGTTAGCTACTTCCCCAATTCACTGTCTATTTCTTCTTTCTCTTATTTATTTTGAGCTCATCAGTTGTAGCAAAAGCACACACTATTTTTCCTCTGTAGTAGTGTAGACAACTGAAATGATCTCTTGGTAGAAGTTTTAATCCAGTCATTGCTTTATTTTATTTTATTTTTTATTTTAGATTTGAAGTTTCATGTGCAGGTTAGTTACATGGATATATTTGCACATACTGCAAATCAATTGTCCTGAGGTTTGGGCTTTTATTGATCCTGTCACTCAAAAAGTGAACCTAGTATCCTATAGATAGTTTTTCAACCCTTTCCTCCCCCCCTTCCTTCTCTTCTTTTGGCGTACCTAGTGTCTTTTGTTCTCATCTTTATGTCTGTGTGCACCGAGGGTTTAACTCTGAGTTATAAGTGAAAACATGCAATACTTGGTTTTTTGTTTCTGCATTAATTTTCTTAGAATAATGGTTTCTAGCTGCATCCATGTTGCTGCAAAGTCTATGATATCATTCTTTTTATGGCTGTGTAGTATTCCATGGTGTATATGTACCGCATTTTCCTTATTCAGTACACCACTGATGGGCACCTAAGTTGGTTTCATGACTTTACTATTGTGAATAGTGCTGTGATAAGCATAGGAATGCAGGTGTCTTTTGGTAGAATTATTTATTTTCCTTTAGGCATATATCTAGTAGTGGGATTGCTGGGTTGAATGGTAATTCTATTTTTAGTTTTCTTGTTTGTTTGAGACTGAGTTTCACTCTTGTTGCCCAGGCTGGAGTGCAATGGCGTGATCTCGGCTCACTACAACCTGCGCCTCCCGGATTGAAGCAATTCTCCTGCCTCAGCCTCCTGAGTAGCTGGGATTACAGGTGTGCACCACAACGCCCAGCTAATTTTGTATTTTTACTAGAGATGGGGTTTCTCCACGTTGGTTAGGCTGGTCTAGAACACCTGACCTCAGGTGATCTGCCCACCTCCACCTCCACCTCCCACAGTGCTGGGATTGCAGGGATGAGCCACCACGCCCGGCCAGAGCAGCCTCTTTCATCACGTGCTTACTGGGTCCCAAGTGGAAGTGCCCCTGCCTCATCTGCAACAGTGCACTGGGGAGGGGAAATGAGAGGCAAGAGATGACACCCTCTCCATGTCCATTCCCAGGCTCTTATGGTGACTCCTTCAGTGACTAGTGCTGTGGCCATGTTTCTTTTGTTCCAAAGGTGGCTTTGGTGGGCTGCACTCCCCCAACCTTGAGGGGACTGCACAGAGGGTTATGACACCAAGGGATCCGCAACTCCCCAGTGACATCTCTGTGGTCCCCTGTGCTTCCTAGAGTCAAGTGGGTTGTGGGGTATGTCTGTGGGCAGTTAGGCAATGCAGTGGCACCAGTGGTGTACAACTGTTATGCTACCTGTGACCTGGGGTTATCAGCCCTGCATGTGGCCGTGAGGCCTGCCCAGCTCATGCTCTCCTGACCTGGTGAGTCTCCCTCTGGCATTCGCAGTGGCAGCAGGCCCAACTGGCTAGGCTTGGGAGGCAGAGGTTGCAGTGACCCGAGTGCACTGCACTCCAGTGTGGGCGACAGAGCAAAACTTCTTCTCAAAAAAATAAAATAAAATAAAATAATCAAGTCAAATAAAAAAAACTATAAGCTACATTTCTCCCAAAGTCAGCAGCTTGATCTATGTCCAGGAATGACTGAACATAGCTTGGAGGTTAGAAACAAGATAGAGTCAATTATGTCAGACTCAAATTACTGTCATAATTTTGCAAAGGTGGTTTCAAAAGGTGGCCCTGTCTTTGGAGCCAAAAATGGGGAGTTAGTGCCTAGAGGCAGAATTGGGATTGGCTTGTCATTACTTGAGATTGTATTTTAGCTTTGGAGAGAAAGGTCTGAGCCTGGTTCTGGTGGGAATGTTGGGCCTCATTCCCTAGCAGGAGCAACTGGGACTTTGTGCAAGTTGGGAGTCTGAAATGAAGCTCTAAGGATGACCCCAAGCTCTCCAGAGGAGAAGGACGTCTTGTGGCTGAAAGTGACACTCAAATGAAGATGATGGGAGCCAAGGGGCCATGGTGGGGTGAGAGAAGAGCAGTCATGCCTTCCTCTTTCCAGGAGAGGGCAGCTCTAGACAAACATCCTGTTTGTACCTCTGAGCTAAGATGGCTTCTGAAACCAGAGCCGAGACACGTGGCTGGAAATCTCCTGCCAGCTGCTTGAAAGGGGCACCCTACAGAGACCACTGGCTTTGGGCTTAGAAACTACCCAACTGAGACACAGTTATTTTCAACCAGTGAGGTCTGAACCAGTTTCAATCCTCATTTGCATGTACAGACCATATTGACGTCTAGGGCAGGACCTTTCCCTAGACCTCTTTTTGTTCTTTGGAGCTCAATTTTTGTCTTACACTGGAGCCTGTGTCTCCCCGATCCATAGATCTTTTTGTTTATTTATTGTTATAGACAATAAAGCCTTTAGGCCGGGTGCAGTAGGTCATGCCTGTAATCCCAGCACTTTGGAAGGCTAAGGCGGGCAGATCACTTGAGCTCGGGAATTTGAGACCAGTCTGGACAACATGGTGAAACCCCATCTCTACAAAAAATATAAAAATTAGCCTGGTGTGGTGATCCATGCCTATAATTTCAGGGGCTCAGGAGGCTGATGCTGGAGAATTGCTTAAGCCCAGGAAGCAGAGGTTGCAGTGAACCAAGAACGTGCTGCTGCACTCCAGCCTAGGTGAGAGTGTGAGACCTGGTCTCAAAAAACGGAAAAAAAAAAAAAAAAGAAAAAAAAAAGGGCTTTTTCTTTTTCTTTCACTGACCTCATGGTCTCTTGCTAACAGGAGTTGATAATTTGTGTTTGGTTCCAAACAAAGGAGTATGTACCCCACACAGAGTCTCCAGGGCTCACAGCGTAGTCCCTCCACTCTCCAACCAGCTCCAGCTGGAAACCAAGGTTGGAGAGAAGTAGAAGGGTGGCAGGTGGCAGTCCAGGTGCAGTGGGGAGCCTGCTGTGGGGATATGGATAGTTTGGATAGTCCCTGGTCATCTCATGGTGTCTCCTTAAAGGAACTAGCCTGCCCCTCTGCGGCCTCCCCTGTCCAGTTGGAGTCCAGATATGCACAGCTTTCAGGTGAATAAAATATTCACTCTTTTGAAAAGTGGGTTATAGTTCTTAGCTCAGATATGATGTGGCCAAGAGAAATTCCTATAGGAAATTTCACTGGTGTTTCTATCAACTTACAGTGCTCCATCTGGATCTTAGATCTTCTGTCACTATATGCCCTTGGTAGCCCATCACAACAATAGTTGAAATGTCAGCTGTAGATGTGTTGATTTCTTCAAGAATAGGAGAAGCCATTTTGGGAGGCTGAGGTGGGCAGATCGTTTGAGGTCAGGAGTCTGAGACCAGACTGACCAACATGGTGAAACCCAGTCTCTAATAAAAATACCAAAAAATTAGCCAGGCGTGGTGACCTGTGCCTGTAATCCCAGCTACCTGGGAAGCTGAGGCAGGAGAATTGGTTGAACCTGGGAAGCGGAGGTTGCAGCGAGCCAAGATCATGCCACTGCACTTCAGCCTGGGCAACACAGCAAGACTCTGTCTCAAAAAAAAAAAAAAAAAGAACAGGAGAAGCTGAGTCTCATGGAGTAATATCTGCCTGTTGCCATGTCCATTCTATAATTTTTTAAAAAGTCAAGTTGAGTTTTATAAACACCTAGACTGATAGGTGGAAATAAAAAGAACTATTGTGGTTTCTACAAAAGTTTATTTCTTTGCACATTCTATCCCATAATCAAAATCTAATTGCAAAATCAAATACTTTATTCACTGAAAAGATTAAGTAAAATGGTGAAATTCTTATTGAGGTGTATTTGACTAAAATGGTGCTATGATTTGTTTGTCCTCTCTGAAATTCATGCTGAAACTTAGTCTGCAAAGTAACAGGATTAAGAGGTGGGTCCTTTAAGAGATAATTGGATCATGAGGTCCCTGCCTTCATGAATGGGTGAATCCATTCCTGAGTGAGTGGGTTAATGGGTGAGTAGGAATAATGGTGTGTGAATTATCATGAGAGTGGGTCTGTTATAAAAGCCTGTTCGGCTCTGTCTCCTGCGACTTCCCTCCATGTGATGCTGTCCACCATGTTATGATGCAGGATGAGGCCCTTGCCAGAAGCCAACCAGCTGCGGCCCAGAGACTGTGGACTTCCCAGCCTTCAGCACTGTAAGAAATAAATTTCATTACATGGACGTATTACATGATGAAAAAAAAAAAAAAAAAAAGGCCAGGCACGGTGGCTCATGCCTGTAATCACTGCAGCCCTGACTCTCAGCCTCAAGTGATCTTCTCACTCCAGCCTCCTGAGTAGCTGGGACTACAGGTCGCACCACCACACCAGCTAGTCGTTTTATTTTTTGTAGAGATGGGGTCTTGCTGTGTTGCCAGGGCTGGCCTCAAACTCCTGGGCTCAAGTGATCCTCATGCCTTGACCTCCCAAAGTGCTGGGATTATGGGTATGAGGCACCATGCCCCACCAGATAAACTTTAAGTAGTGATTTGGCATGTACTAGGGACATTCCCTTGATTCTAAAAGGACATCTGAGCCCATTGGGAAACATCTTTCTTTCATCTGGATCATCGTGTTTCTTCTCTGAAGAACAGCTGGTGCTTTGGTCTCTACCCTTGGGTGTAGGCCTAGTGATGTAAAGTAACCTTGAGATATCTCTTTTTCTTTGTTTTATGTTTTGTTCTTGTTGTTGTTTTATTTTTATTTTTTCTTTTCTTTCTTTTAATTATGGAAATGTGTCCAGATACA
This sequence comes from Homo sapiens, assembly GCF_000001405.40. Classification (NCBI taxonomy): domain Eukaryota; kingdom Metazoa; phylum Chordata; class Mammalia; order Primates; family Hominidae; genus Homo; species Homo sapiens. Next base: position 80,026,717 of record NC_000010.11, on the reverse strand, counting down.
AATTCAAAGTTACTGCTTTAAGAATACCAGCCCTGTCAGTGCCAGTGGGAAATCTGGTTCTGTTTTTTTTTTTTTTTTTCTGAGATGGAGTCTCCCTCTGTCTCCCAGGCTGGAGTGCAGTGGCAGGATTTTGGCTCACTGCAACCTCCAGCTCCCGGGTTCAAGTGATTCTCCTGCCTCAGCCTCTGGAGTAGCTGGGATTATAGGCACCCACCACCACGCCCAGCTAATTTTTGTATTTTTATTAGACATGGGGTTTCACCATGTTGGCCAGGCTGGTATGGAACTCCTGACCTCAGGCGATTCACCTGCCTCAGCCTCCCAAATTGCTGGGATTACAGGCATGAGCCACCACGCCCAGCCCTGGTTCTGTTTTCTTGAAGATGGTTTCAACATGACCCTGTGCTTGCAGGATTGGAATATCTCACCCCTCACTGGTGAGGGACAAATCTGTGATGTCCTCTTATTCATTGAAACCAAGTGCTGTGCCTTACAATGGCCCTGAGAGGATTGATTGGTCTTCACTTTTAATTGAAAAGTACTTTAGGACATGGAAAAGTAAATCCAAAGAGGCTTTTCTTTTACCTTTCGTGCTTTTCTCTGAAAGTACAAATTATCTACCACTACTCAAGGATGAAGAAACATTTGGGTCACTCTATCTTTTCTTCCACATGTAGAAAACATTGGGGCTTTATTTCTTTATATATATATAGCTTATATATATATATATAGCTTATATATAGCTTATATATATATATATATAGCTTATATATAGCTTATATATATATATATAGCTTATATATATAGTTTATATATATATATAGTGTGTGTGTATTTTATATATATATATATATATATAGTTTTTTTTTTTTTTCTGAGATGGAGTCTCGCTCTGTCTCCCAGGCTGGAGTGCAGTGGCACGATTTTGGCTCACTGCAACCTCGACCTCCCGGGTTCAAGCCATTCTCCTGCCTCAGCCTCCTGAGTAGCTGGGATTACATTATATATACATATATGATTATAACATATATATAATACATATAACATATATATTATATATAACATATTTATATATACATTATATATATAAATGTGGAACTGCTAGGTTAAAGCAATCTGCTGCCTCAGCCTCCTGAAGTCTTGGGATCACAGGCTGAGCTACTGCGCCCAGCCTGCATCTTTATTTATTTGGTTCAATTGTGTCTCCCTCTGTTTCTGCACATCACGTGACCACCTGAGCAAACATCTCCCCATGATCTTCAATGTGATAATGAATCTTGTCTTATTGGTGTACCTCTTTAGGCTTTGAGCCTGAGAGAATGACAAGTGTCCTTGAATATTTCATTTAGAAAATAAATTTTGTGCTCTTCTAATGGTCCAGAAATTTTACTTCTGTTGAAAAAAGGGCCATAAGATGCAATTATAATAAATGTATTTCTGGGAATGTAGAGAAATACTTTTAAAAGACTCTGTTCTAGATCTGGCACGTCATTGATGTCATCGTTGCCTGACCGCTTTCTAGGAGACTGGAGTCAAAGGCCGTGCTTCAGCCATAAGGGCAGCTGAAGAAATTAATGAGGACTATCCAGTAGAAATTCACGATTATTTGTCAGCATTTGCGAATTCCATTGATGCTGTGGATGAGATGCTGAAGAACATGATGTCTGTTTCTAGAAATGAGTTGTTGCAGAAGTTGGACCCACTTGAACAAGCAAAAGTGGATTTGGTTTCTGCATACATATTAAATTCAATGTTTTGGGCTTATTTGGCAACTCAAGGAGTGAATCCTAAGGAACATTCAGTAAAGCAGGAATTGGAAAGAATCAGAGTATATATGAACAGAGTCAAGGAAATAGCAGACAAGAAAAAGGCTGGCAAGCTGGACAGAGGTGCAGCTTCAAGATTTGTAAGAAATGCCCTCTGGGAACCAAAACCGAAAAATGCATCCAAAGTTGCCTATAAAGGAAAAAGTAAAAGTTAACATTTTGGATTTGATGTACACACATTCAAAAAGTACCTCATTTTTTTTCCCCACAAAGTAATTCTGTGGCAATGCAAGGTTTAAAAGTATTCCTTGTTGAATTAATATGTAAATTTACAGTAAATTTGTAAAGCTCAATACTTTCCTCTCCAAAGATTGTTATCTTTATTGATTTGCACTATGAGGATTTTAACATTGTGATATATTTTATATTTACAATTTACCATCTCTTTTGAAGAGACTCTTATTTCTTTATATATGTCAGTTTTGCAAGTACCATTTTCTTAGCAACTGTGAAATTTAAGTGAAGTATTCTTTGTAAATATTTGTAGTATTTTCAATGAAATAACACACTTATACCATCCACAGACACATATAAAATACTTGATAAAGGCCATTTAATGCAGCTGATTAGATGTAGCTCCAGATACAGTTAGTTACTTCCCCAATTCACTATTTCTTCTTTCTCTTAATTATTTTGAGCTCATCAGTTGTAGCAAAAGCACACACTATTTTTCCTCTGTAGTAGTGTAGACAACTGAAATGATCTCTTGGTAGAAGTTTTAATCCAGTCATTGCTTTATTTTACTTTAGTTTTTGTTTTAGATTCAGAGTTTCATGTGCAGGTTAGTTACATGGATGTATTTGTACATACTGCAAATCAATTGTCCTGAGGTTTAGGCTATTATTGATCCTGTCACTCAAAAAGTGAACCTAGTATCCTATAGATAGCTTTTCAAACCTTCCCACCTCCCTTCCTCCTCCTCTTTTGGAGTACCCAGTGTCTTTTGTTCTCATCTTTATGTCTGTGTGTACCCAGGGTTTAACTCTGGGTTATAAGTGAAAACATGCAATACTTGGTTTACTGTTTCTACTTTAATTTGCTAGAATAATAGTTTCTAGCTGCATCCATGTTGCTGCAAAGTCTATGATTTAATTCTCTTTATGGCTGTGTAGTATTCCATGGTGTGTATGTACCACATTTTCTTTATCCAGTACACCACTGATGGGCACCTATGTTGGTTTCATGTCTTTACTATTGTGAATAGTGCTGTGATAAGCATACAAATGCAGGTGTCTTTTGGGTAGAATGTTTATTTTCCTTTAGGCATCTATCTAGTAGTGGGATTGCTGGGTGAATGGTGATTCTATTTTTAGTTTTCTTGTTTGTTTGAGACCGAGTTTCACTCTTGTTGCCCAGGCTGGAGTGCAATGATGCGATCTTGCCTCACTGCAACCTCAGCCTCCCGGGTTGAAGCAATTCTTCTGCCTCAGCCTCCCGAGTAGCTGGGATTACTGGCGTGCACCATAATGCCCGGATAACTTTGTATTTTTAGTAGAGACATGGTTTCTCCATGTTGGTCAGGCTGGTCTCAAACTCCTGACTTCAGGTGATCTGCCCACCTCCACCTCCCAAAGTGCTGGGATTGCAGGGATGAGCCACCACGCCTGGCCAGAGCAGCCTCTTTCATCACATGCTTCCTGGGTCCCAAGTGGAAGTGCCCCTGCCTCATCTGCAACAGTGCACTGGGGAGGGGAGATGAGAGGCAAGAGATGACACCCTCTCCATGTCCATTCCCAGGCTCTTATGGTGACCCCTTCGGTGACTAGTGCTGTGGCCATGTTTCTTTTGTTCCAAAGGGGGCTTTGGTGGGCTGCACTCCCCCAACCTTGAGTGGACTGCACAGAGGGTTATGACACCAAGGGATCCACAACTCCTCTGTGACCTCTCTCTGGTCCCCTGTGCTTGCTGGAGTCAAGTGGGTTGTGGGGTATGTCTGTGGGCAGTTAGGCAATGCAGTGGCACCAGTGGTGTACAACTGTTATGCTACCTGTGACCTGGGGTTTTCAGCCCTGCAAGTGACTGTGAGGCCTGCCCAGCTCATGCTCTCCTGACCTGGTGAGTCTCCCTCTGGCATCCACACTGACAGCAGGCCCAGCAGGCTAGGCTTGTTCTCAGCTGTCTGCATCCAGGTTGGTGAGCCGTTCCAGGCATACTCAGCCATGACACCCCATGGGGGAGAAGCCTGGGCTATCAGGCCATGCCCTTCCCAGTCCAGTCTTGCAAAGGGAGGGGCACCCAGCTCCCATGCTGGCACATGGACCCACATAGCACTCTTCTCTGTGCAGTGCAGTGGAGGTGTGCTGTGGGTATCCTTCTGTGAGACTGGCCAGGTGGGCAGTCTTGGGAGGGACTGGGAGGTAGTGGGAGTGAGGTGGTAGGGGGAGTGTGGTCCAGATGCACCTCGGTCCCACACTCAGTGCAAGACGAAGCGTCTTCGGAAATCAGCGTTTATGGTTGTGTTTTGCTACCACGGCACAGCTCAGTGAAGCCTTCTGTGCTTTGCTCAGGTTCAAGCTGTGCCTCTGCTTGTTCTCCAGGCGGCTCTCCCTGGAAGTCAAAATGTCTATGGGGATCGTGGGAACTCCTGTAGCTAGGATCACAGGGGTCCATGGAGGGAATGTGATGTCTGAAGTTCCTTCATCACCACCTCCTTAGATCTGGTCCAGGTCCGGGGACTGGTCCTGGCACCCGGCAACTCTGAGTAGGCTGTGAGCTTCCTCCCTCTAAAACCATGGTGTATGTGTGGCCTCTCCATTGACCCTCAGTGTTTTCTGAAGAGCTGTTTGAATTGTGAAGGCTTACTCAATACTTTGTTTCCTCGTCATGGACGAAGTACCCTCCAGTGGCTTGTAGTTGTCCACATTGCACCTTTTTGCTTTAAAGCAATGGTGTGATGGCCATAACCCAGGTTTGAGTATATATATAGTTGTTGTTAGGATGTGGGCCTCTATGCTTTTATTTCCTTATTTAAAATGAGAAAAGATATCTGTATATCTGTAGGTTTTACCTTACAGTGACGTATTCTTTCTTTCTTTCTTTTTTTTTTTTTTTTTGAGATGGAGTCTTGCTCTGTCACCCAGGCTGGAGTGCAGTGGCGTGATCTCGGCTTACTGTAAGCTCTCCCTCCCGGGTTCATGCCATTCTCCTACCTCAGCCTCCCTAGTAGCTGGTACTACAGGCGCCTGCCACCAGACCTGGCTAATTTTTTTGTATTTTTAGTTGAGACTGGATTTCACCACATTTGCCAGGATGGTCTCTATCTCCTGACCTCGTGATCCGCCCGCCTCGGCCTCCAAAAGTGCTGAGATTACATGCGTGAGCCACCGCGCCGGGCCAGTGATGTATTCTTTCTATTCCATTTCCTTCGCCCTCTTAAGCAAAATATTTCTTTCTGAACTCATTTCTTTCTTCATATACCCTATGTATAATATATACCCTATGTATAATATGTACTGTATGTACAATATATACCTTATGTACAGTACCAGCTAAGAGCAGGTGAGTCATTATCGTGATATTCTGCTTTCATTATTTTCCTCACTTCTGCCTTCCAGGTATTCACAACTGACATAGATTTACCAAAAATTTACAGTGGCATAAGATGGGCTGCCAGCTTTCTTTTTTCTTTCTTTCTTTCTTTTTTTTTTTTTTGAGACGGAGTCTCTGTTGTCCAGCCTGGAGTGCAGTGGTGCTACCTTGGCTCACTGCAACCTCCACCTCCCAGGTTCAAGCAGTTCTCCGCCTCAGCCTCCTGAGTAGTTGGAACTACGGGCATGTGCCACCATGCTAGGCTAATTTTTGTATTTTTAGTAGAAATGGGATTTCATCATGTTGGCTAGGCTGGTCTCAAACTCCTGACCTCGTAATCTGCCCACCTCGGCCTCCCAAACTGTTGGAATTACAGGCATAAGCCACTGTGCCCAGCCCGTCTGCCATCTTTCTAGGATTCGAAGAAGTTTTGTATCACCCATGGCCTATCTCCAGAGACAAATCTACCCATATAAGTTTTCCTATTATGTCATTTTACCAAAATAAACAATGGGATGATTGTATCCATCAGAGTATCAACCAAGAAAGGGAACTAGTATGTATTTAGAGATTTGTTGCAAGGAACTGGCTTATGTGATTGTGGAGGATCACTTGAGAAAGTCCAAAGTCCATAGGAAAGGTTGGGCAAGAGCTGATCCTGTTGTTCATAGGCAGAATTTTTTTTATGGAAGACTCAGTTCTGCTTTGAAGGCCTTTTTTCCAACTGATTAATTCAACAATCAAGACCACTTATTTAAAGTCAACTGGGCCAGGCGTGGTGGCTCATACCTGTAATCCCAGCACTTTGGGAGGCTGAGGTGGGCAGATCTCCTGAGGTCAGGAGTTTGAGAGCAGCCTGGCCAACATGGCAAAACCCCATCTCTACTAAATACAAAAATTAGCCAGGCATGTTGGCACATGCCTGTAATTCCAGCTACAAAGGAGGTGGAGGTTGCAGGGAGCCGAGATCATGCCACTGTGCTCCAGCGTGGGCAACAGAGTGAGACTGTCCAAAAAAAAAAAAGTCATCTGCTTTAGGTAGGATGCTGAGGAACATGACAAAACCAGTGAATCCATGAGCATGGGCCCATTGCTATACCTCACTTGCTAGGAACTGAACTCCTTGGTTGGAAGCAATGTTGTATGGAGTACCATGACAGCAGATAAGGCATTCTGTCAGTTTACAGATAATTCTTTTGGCTGAAGGATTGGGTGCAGGGAAGGCAAAAGCATATGCAGCATGTCTATTCCAGTAAGAACAAACTTCATTCCTTCTACAATGGTAGTGGTCTAATGTAATTATTTTTCCTCTAGGTATAGCTTATCACCCTGGGTGATGGTGCCATACTGGGGACTCAGTGTTAGCCTCTGATGCTTTCTGTAGGTTTGATTAGGAGTGTCCAATGGTGATAAATTGCCACATTTAGTGATGAACCCAGTGCCCTCTCTATTACTGGAACTGGTCATTAGTGCTTTTAAAGTTTTTTTTTTTTTTGAGATGGAGTCTTGCTGTCACCCACGCTGGAGTGCAGTGGAGTGATCTTGGCTCACTGCAACCTCTGCCTCCCGGCTCAAGCGATTCTTCTGCCTCAGCCTCCTGAGTAGCTGGGATTACAGGTGCCCACACCACGCCTGGCTAATTTTTGTGTTTTTAGTAGAGACGGGGGTTTCACCATGTTGGTCAGGCTGGTCTTGAACTCTTGAACTCGTGATTCACTCACCTTGGCCTCCCAAAGTGTTGGGATTACAGTTGGGAGCCACCGTGCCTGGCCAGTGCCCTTAAAGTTTATTTGATTAGAGAACCAATTTCAGAAACCCAGAATCAATTCAGAAAACTCATCTGTAACATTCTTTGTTATACAGCCACTGACTGTACCAATATCTGGGTCAGTCAAAATTCAACCAGAGTAACAGAATCAGTTTTCAAGGAAACTGACTTACACAATTGTGGGGACTGACTAGGCAGGAAGGAAATTTGTAGGGAAAGGTAAGATGACACTCTCAGGCAGGAGCTAAAGTTGCTCTCCAGTCCCACCCGCATTACAGTGAATAATCTGTTTTGGGTAAAGCCAATTGATTTTATATATTAATCACACATGCAAAATGCATTTATAGCAACACCTGCATTCATGTTTGATGGAAAAACTGCAAACCTTAGACTAGCTAACTTGACATATGGCCAGACCACCATATTGATGATGGAATAAAATAAGTTGCAGGAAAAGCTGAGGAGAATGTGAAAAGTACAAGATAAGGCGAGACTCTCCATTCGTTAAATAGCATGGACAAGTCAAAATAATTAAGAAATAAAAGAACCTGAACACAGAGAAGAAAATGCTTAAATATGTGGAAACTAGAGAGCAGAGAACCAAAGTCATATTTGGAAAAGTATCATGATAGATGCAAAATTACGTAGTAGAATCTGTACTTCTACTTAAAATTCATCTTACCCTTAATCTAATTACTTCAAAATCCTTTTAAGTGGTGTTAAATATTTAATGAAGGGATTCAGTAGAAAGGTATTTAAGAAATGGGTGTGGCCAGGCTCAGTGGCTCATGCCTGTAATCCCAGCACTTTCGGTGGCCAGGCGGGTGGATCACCTGAGGTCAGGATTTGGAGAGATGGGTGGGCCACCCTGTGTTTTGTTGTATCTTGTGTCTCTGGCAGTTGTTCTGTGAAGCCACTAGATTCTGGAATCCAGGCCACTCTTCCCAGTATGGATTTGGCCAAAAGTTCAAATGGTAAGTTCCTATCAGCCTGCTGGCTGTTCTCTGTGTTGATGCCAAAGGGCTTGTTTGTTTTCTAGAGTTTATGAAAGTTTAAATCACGGCTGGGAGCAGTGGCTCATGCCTGTAATCCCATCACTTTTGGAGGCCGAGGTGGGAGGATCACCTGAGGTCAGGAGTTCGAGACCAGCTTGGCCAACATGGTGAAACCTCATCTCTACTAAAAATACAAAAATCAGCTGGGCGTGGTGATGGGCACCTGTAATCCCAGTTACTTTGGAGGCTGAGGCAGGATAATTGCTTGAACCCAGGAGGTGGAGGTTGCAGTGAGCCGAGATCGCACCATTTCAGTCCAGCCTGGGTGACAGAGAAAGACTCTGTCTCAAAAAAAAAAAAAGTTGAAATCATGAAACCATGATTAGAAGGATGTGTTTTAACCTTTTAGTTTTTTACATGATATTTACCTGTTTTATTAATTTTACGCATTTTTCTAATTCTGTTGCTTCCTATTTTCTTGCATGTTACTATTGTGGAATTTCTGTAAGCTTTTGCTCTGTATACTTAGATCATTGCCTATCATATTTCCTAAAAGATGAATTTACACTTATATGTGTCCTTACTAGCATGACTTAAGATATGTTGCTAAAGTAAAAACATAGAGTCATCAATGGATATATTGGCTTTCCGTCTGAAATAATGCCAGCAATTTTAATCTATAAGCACATTCTTCATACTCTTTTATTCCTTTGTGTCTTTGCTAGGCTCACTAGAAAGAGAGGCCCGGCGAAAGAGGATTGTTTTGAACCAGAGTCAAAAAGATACCCTCCAGGCATGGTTTGAAAAGAATCCCTATCCTGGTATAGCTGCCAGGGATCAACTGGCCAAAGAAATTGGCATTCCAGAGCCTAGAATTCAGGTAGGCATTTGGTTTCTATTTATTTTCTTTCAAAGTTAAGTAAAGAGAAAAGCTAGGCTAAGCACTTTCAAGCAATTCTCTTAGGTCTCTATTTTGCCATGAAGTTTATTCCTGTTATGTAGTGAAAAAAATAAAACAAGAGCAATAACTCTGTGTATATCTCTTGTTTTTTTTCTTTCTGAGACAGGATGTCACTCTGTCACTCAGACTGGAGTGTAATGGCTCAATCACAGCTCACTGCAGCCTCGACTTCCTGGGCTCAATCAGTCCTCCCATTTCAGCCTTCTGCGTAGCTGGGACTACAGGCACAAGCCACCATGACCGACTAATTTTTTTTTTTTTTTGAGGCTGAGTCTTGCTCTGTTGTCCAGGCTGGAATGCAGTGGTGCAATCTCAGCTCACTGCAGCCTCCACCTCCGGGGTTCAAACGATTCTGCTGCCTCAGCCTCCTGAGTAGTTGGGACTACAGGCATGCACCACCACGCCTGGCTAATTTTCATATTTTTAGTAGATAGGGCTTCGCCACGTTGGCCAGGCTGGTCTGGAACTCCTGACCTCAGGTGATCCGCCTGCCTCGGCCTCCCAAAGTGTTGGGATTACAGGCGTGAGCCACTGCACCGGTCCCAGCTAATTTTAAAAAGTTTTTGTATAGATATGGTCTTGCCATCTTGCCCAGGCTGGTCTGAAACTCCTGGGCTCAAGCAATCTTCCCACCTCAGTTTCCCAAAGTGCTGAGGTTATAGGTGTGAGCCACCACATCTGGCCCTAATTTTTTTTAAGCTAATGTCCCTAATTTGATTCATACACAAGAAATTCTATATTGAATTATTTTGAATAAAATTATTGATGCAATAATTAAACTAAGATAATTTTTTAACTTATTAAAGAGATAAGGCATATAATTGTCCCAAGTGAGATGGTATTTAAACCAATGAAGATAAGTGGATATGTCTTTTTAGGGGTAAAAATTGAGTTCAGGTGTTAGCATCTAATATACAGTCTCTGATTAATTGGTTATAATGACCTCAATTTTTGAAAATGCTCAAGAGGATAAAATTTTATGTTTTTAATTGCCTGATGGGTTCGTCCTGCCTACTGTGCAGATGAAACCAATTAACTGAGACCAAGGCATTGCAATAAAGAATTTAATTGACATGAGGTTGGCCTCACCACGTGGAGAAGTAGTTTTTACTTAAATCAACCTCCCTGAAAATTCAGAGGCTAGGATTTTTCAAGGATAGTTTGGCAGGTAAGGGAACGGATGTACCTGATTAGGTGGGGATGTAATCATACGGGTGTGGAATATGGTCCTCCTGTGCTGAGTCTGCATCTGGGTGGGCCCACAGGGTGGCTGGCAGTCTGGGTGGAGCTATCAGTTGTCAGAAGTGCAAAAACCTGTAAGACATCTCAAAAGGCCAATCTTAGGTTCTACAATAGTGATGTTATCTGGAGGAGTAATTGGGGAAATTGTGACCTGTGTAATAATGGCTGGTAATCCTTTAGGCCTCCACATCAGCAGAATTCAGGCTCCTCTTATCCTCCTATCCTGGTGGTCTTTCATTAGCTTTACAAAGGCAGTTTTGGGGAAGGGCTATTATCATTTAAACTATAAACTAAATGTCTCCCAAAGTTAGCTTCGCCCAGGCCCAGGAATGCCTAGGGATAGTTTGGAGGTTAAAGGTAAACTGGGCTGGGTGTAGTGGCATGCACCTGTAGTCTCAGATACTTGGGAGGTTGAGGCAGGAGAGTAGCCTGAGCCCGGGAGGTGGAGGTTGCAGTGAGCCAATATTGCACCACTGCACTCTAGCCTGGGCCGCAAAGCAAGACCCTGTCTCAAAAGTAGATAAATTAATTAATAAAGGCAAGGTGGGGGCTGGTTAGTTCAGATCTCTTCCACTGTCATAATTTTCTCACTGTTATAACTTTTGCAAAGGCAGTTTCATGTTTAGATGATCTGTTCTGGGTATGGGAGATAGGGTTTACTCAAATTCTGGTAATAAAATTGCTGCATGTGAGAAGACCTGGTGATTGGCTGCCTGAGAGGTACTGAGCTCGTTGGAACCTATGGTGAGAAGGAAAGGCCAGGAAACAATGTAAGGTGCTGTTAGCTCTCATATGGTATTCATAAAGGCATTCATTAGTTTAGATTCCAGCTGTGTGTAAGACTTTTTATCTAAAAATATTTTGATTAATTAATTTAGATAACAGATATAGGCTTTGAGCACAATGCTTGGGAATTAAAAGCAGATCAATAGTGCCGATGAAAAGAGTTAAACTCTGTAAAATATTTTGTATTTTTTTGTTTTGTTTTTGAACTTTTTGGGTTTTTTTTCTTATTTTCCTTTTTCTTCTTTTTTCTTTTTCTCTTTATCTTTTTTGATTTTTCATTTTTTGAGACGGAGTTTTTGCTCTGTTGCTCAGGCTGGAGTGCAGTGGCACGATCTTGGCTCACTGCAACCTCCACCTCCTAGATTCAAGCAATTCTCCTGACTCAACCTCCCAAGTAGCTGGGATTGCAGGTGCCCGCCACCAGGCCCATCTCTACTAAAAATACAAAAAATTAGCCAGGTGTTGTGGTGCCCACCTGTAATCCCAGCTACTCGGGAGGCTGAGGCAAGAGAATTGCTTGAACCCAGGAGGCGGAGGTTGCAGTGAGCCTAGATGGCACCATTGCACTCCAGCCTCGATGAGAGAGCAAGACTTCATCCAAAAAAAAAACCCGACAATAAATAAATATATAAATACATAAATAAAAGATAAAAAATAAAATAATGCATTTTAATTAGCATGTAATGAGCAGTGAGGATGATCGGAGATCACTTTCGTGACCATCTTGGTTTTGGTTGGCTTCTTTACTGCAGGCTGTTCTATCAGCAAGGTCTTTGTGACCTGTATCTTGTGCTGACTTCCATCTCTCATCCTGTGACTGAGAATGACTGACTACCTGGGAATGCAGCCCAGTAGGTCTCAGCCTCATTTTAACCAGCCCCTATTCCAGATGGAGCCACTCTGGTTCAAACATCTCAGACAACAGGAGAAACGACATACAGATTTATTTAACGTGTACACAGGAGTCTTCAGAATGAAGACCCAACTTCCCAAAGAGTTACAGAAACTTATATACCATCCTGAGGCCACTAAAAAATATAGACTTGGAGCATGGTCCGAAACAAGTAAATCAGGTTTAGTGGCAAGACAGGTTAAGAGAGAGAAAGGAAGAAGGTGGACTAGCATAGTTGGCCTTGTTATATGGATGATACCTCCCTCAAAGAGAATAGATGGTAAGCCGTTGTTTTTTGTTTTGTTTTGAGACAAGACTGCCATCTGTCACCCAGGCTGGAGTGCAGTGGTGTGATCCTTGCTTACTGCAGCCTTGACCTCCCAGGTTCAATCAATCTGCCCACCTCAGCTTCCTGAGTAGCTGGGACTACAGGTGCATGCCAGCACACCTGGCCAATTTTTTTTTTTTTCTTTGTAGAGATGAGGTTTTGCCATATTGCCCAGGCTGGTCTCAAACTCCCGAGCTCAAGTGATCAGCTTGCCTTGGCCTCCCAAAGTGCTAGCATTATAGGAATGAGCCATGGCACCCAGCGGTAAATGTTTCTTTTCAGACTTTTAAAGGTGTCAGACTTGGCTGGGCGTGGTGGCTCATGCCTGTAATCCCAGCACTTTGGGAGGCAGAGGTGGGCAGATCTGCTCCCGTTCCTCCTTCCAAGTTTTTCAGCAGCAAACAGTCATTTGTACTGGCTTTTCTCCCATTCTACATGTCCTTTGTTCCTTGGGATCCCCCTGGGAGCTGCATGAGCCAGGGACCAGGGGTCATGATGCTTCAGCCTACCCAGGGTGTGCAGGGAGAGAGCTCTCACTCTCCTTTGACACTTAGAAGTCCTGTGTCAATAGTACCAATTCTATGAGTGGGGCTGTCACATATGCAGACTCCTTTCTGACCCCCATACCAAGGAAGATGCCAAGGTGACAAGGGGAACAAGCACACTGGCCTGGTAGTGCTGCCCTTTAAGAATCTGGCTCAGCCTCAGCCTGGTGACCCTAAACAGCAATGGCATGGCCTGGGTCAGCAAGACACACTCTCTCTATGCAATGCTGGAATGAGTGTCTCCAGTCTCTTGTTGCTGATGGGAACCTTGTAAAAGGACCTGCATATCCTGGACAAACTGAGACACAGGTGGCAGCACAGGCCCCACCCCTTTTAAAGCCATCGCACTACTTGACTGACCATACCAGCACTATGGATAAACTTCAAGCTTTTTAGGTTAACTTCTGTCTGCCACAGATTCTCAGGAAAAGATATCATCTTTCTAAGCAGATGACAGTCCATGACCTGAATAACCGCTTAGTGAAGATTTTCAGATTCTGCTCCACATGCTGGGAAGTTCGCCAAGGCTTTAGATTTAGGAGGAGGATTTTTTTTTTTTTTTTTATGACCTCGATCCAGGCCTCCTTTCCTTGGATGCAAAATTAGTGTGATATAAAGGAAAATGAACAACAAGCACATTGTGGTACTGGTGAAAGAAGTGCCTACCATTTTGAAGCCCAAAGGGGAGTGCTTATTTTTTAATTTTTAATTGTAAAAATAAAATATTTAATTTACAGTCTTGACAATTACTAAGTGTACAGTTTGGTAATGTTAATTATATTCACATTGTTGTGCAATAGATAGCTGTAAGTTTTTTTATTTTTATTTTTTGTTTGAGACAGTCTCGCTCTGTCACCCTGGCTGGAGTGCAGTGGTGTGATCTCAGCTTGTTGCAATCTCTGCCTCCCGGGTTCAAGCGATTCTTCTGCTTCAGCCTCCCAAGTAGCTGGGACAACAGGCGTGTGCCACCACGCCTGGCTAATTTTTTGTATTTTTAGTAGAGACAGGGTTTTGTCATGTTGGCCAGGCTGGTCTCGAATTCCTGACCTCAGGTGATCTGCCCACCTCGGCCTCCCAAAGTGCTGGGATTACAGGTGTGAGCCACCACACCCAGCCAGTTAAAGCCTCATTTAATCATAGTTACTTCTTTAAAGGTCTTATCTGCAAATACAATCCTGTTGAGGTTGGGACTTCAACACGTGAATTTGGGAGGGACACAATTTGGTCTGTAACGCTCTTATTTACAACTCCTGATTTCCCCTTTTCCTATCCCCTGCCAACCACCATTCTACTTTCTGTTCTGATGAGTTTGATTGCTTTACATACCTCACATAAGTAGAATCATACAGCATTTACTTTATGTAACTGGCTTATTTCACTTGGTATAATATCCTCAAGGTTCTACGTGGCCTGTGATGGGATTTCCTTTGTTAAAGGCTGAATAATATTCCATTTAATGTATATGCCACATTTTGTTTATCCATTCATGTATCAATGGACATTTGGGTTGCTTCTCTTGGCTATCATGAATAATGCTGCAATGAACATAGGTGTACAAATATGTCTTTGAGATCCTACTTTTAATTCTATTGGCATATACCCAGAAGTGGGATTGCTGGACATGGTAATTCCATTTTTTGTTGTTTGAGGAAGCTTTCTAATGTTTCTCATAGCAGCTGTACCATTTTACATTCCCACCAGCAGTGTACAAGAATTCTCACTTATCTACATCCTCATCAACACGTGTCACTTTTTGTTGCTTTGATAGTGGCCATCCTCATGGGTGTCAGGTGATATCTCACTGTGCTTTTGATTTGCAGTTCTCTAATGATTAGTGATGTTAAGCATCGTTTCACATGTATGCCTTTTTTGGATAAATGTCTATTTAAGTTATTTGTTCATTGTTCAATCGAGTTTTTTGTTGTTGAGTTATAGGAATTCTTATATATTATGTGACTTATATTATTTTTTGAGACAGGGTCTTACTCCATGCCCAGGCTGGAGTGATGTGGTGCAATCTTGGCTCACTGCAGCCTCAACCTCTTTGAGCTCAGGTGACCCTCCCACCTCAGCTTCCCAAGTAGCAGGGACTACAGGTGTGTGTCACCATGCCTGGCTATTTTTTGTATTTTTCACAGAGACAGGGTTTTGTCATGTTGGCCAGGCTGATCTAGAACTCCTGGGCTCAAGTGATCTCCCCACTTCGGCCTCTCAAAGTGCTGGGACTATAGGTGTGAGCCACGGTGCCCAGTTGGAATTCTTTATATATTCTTGATATTAACCCCTTATCAGATATAATTTGCAAACATTTTCTCCCATCCCATAGCTTGCCTTTCACTTTGTGTTCTTTGATCCACATAGGTTTTAACATTGGATATGGTCCTATTTGTCTATTTTTGCTTTTGTTGCCTGAGCTTTTAGTGTCAATCCAAGAAATCATGGACTATTTAACTTCATGAAGCTTTTCCCTTATGATTTCTTTTTATTTTATTTATTTATTTATTTATTTATTTATTTATTTATTTATTTATATTTATAGAGGTGAGGTCTCCCTATGTTGCCCAGGCTGGTCTTGAACTCCTGGACTCAAGCCATCCTCCTGCCTTGGCCTCCCAAAATGTTGGGATTATTGGTGTGAACCACCATGCCTGGCCTCCCTTATGATTTCTTTTTCAAATGAGGATAAGCCACCCTCCCTTATGATTTCTTATAGGAGTTTTATACTTTTAGGTCTAACTCATAATGAATGGAAGATTTAAATGTAAGGCTTCAAAGTATAATATGAGGCCAGGCGTGGTGGCTCATGCCTGTAATCCCAGCACTTTGGGATGCTGAAGCAGGAGGGTCACTTGAGGTCAGGGGTTCGAGACTAGCCAGTTTGAGACCAAAATTAGCTGGGTGTGGTGTCACATGTCTTTAATCCCAGCTACTTGGGAGGCTGAGGCAGGAGATTCACGTGAACCTGGGAAGTGGAGGTTGTGGTGAGATGAGATTGCGCCATGGCACTCTAGCCTGGACAACAAGAGGAACACTCCGTCAAAAAAAAGTATAATATGAAATTTATAAGATGAAAATTAGCTCAAAATGAATGGAATATTTAAATGTAAATTTTCATATATGGTGTAAGGTAAGGATCCAACTTCATTATTTCGCATGTAAGTGTTCAATTTTCCCAACTCTATATCTTGAAGACACTGTCCTTTCTGCATTGTATGATCTTGGTCCTCTTGTTGAAGACCATTCGACTACATTTTCCTGAGTTTATTTCTGATCTCTTTATTTTGTTTTATTGGTCTATATGTTTGCCTTTATGCCAGTACCATACTCTGTTGGTTACTATCAATTTATAATTAGTTTTGAAATCAGAAATTGTGAGATCTCCAAATTTGTTCTTCTGTTTCAAGATTGTTTTGGCTATTTTGCTTTTCTCTGAGATTCCATAGGAATTTTGTTTTTGTTTTATTGAGATAGTCTCACTCAACTCACAATTGCCCAGGCTGGAGTGCACTGGCACCATCCTGGTTCACTGCAACCTCAGCCTCCCAGGTTCAAGTGATTCCCCTGCCTTAGCCTCCCAAGTAGCTGGGATTACAGGCATGCGCCACCACACCCAGCTAATTTTTGTATTTTTAGTAGAGGTGGGGTTTCACCATGTTGGCTAGGCTGGTCTCGAACTCCTGACCTCAAGAGATCCACCTGCCTTGGCCTCCCAAAGTGCTGGGATTACAGGTGTGAGCCACTGCACTGGGCCCAGATTCCATAGGAATTTTAAGGTAGTTTTTCCTATTTCTATAAAATGCTATTGAAATTTTGATAGGGATTGCATTTAATCTATAGGTTTTAAATAGTATGAGAATCTTAGCAATATTAAATCTTGAAATTCAGGAACACAAGATTGCTTTCATTTATTTGTGTTTTGTTAAATTTGGCTCAACGTTATGAAATTTTGAGTATACAAGCCTTTTGCCTCCTTGGTTAAGTTTATTCTTAAATATTTTATTTCTTTTAGTGCTTTTTTTTTCGATATATAGGTAAGCCCAGCTGTGTGATGCTTTCATAATGGGATCGTTTTCTTCTTTTTCAGATTTTTTTTTTTTTTTTGAGACAGAGTCTCGCTTTGCCGCCCATGCTGGAGTGCAGTGGCATGATCTCGGCTCACTGCAAGCTCTGCCTCTTGGGTTCACGCCATTCTCCTGCCTCAGCCTCCCGAGCAGCTGGGACTACAGGCACACACCACCACGCCCAGATAATTTTTCGTACTTTTAGTAGAGACAGGGTTTCACCCTGTTAGCCAGGATGGTCTTGATCTCCTGACCTCATGATCCACCTGCCTCAGCCTCCCAAAGTGCTGGGATTACAGGCGTGAGCCACTGTGCCTGGCTTTTTTTTTTTTTTTTTTTTTTTTGTGACAGAGTCTCACTCTGTCTTGCTCAGGCTGGAGTACAATGGCACCATCTTGGCTCACCACAACCTCTGCCTCCCAGGTTTAAGCAATTTTCCTGCCTCAGCCTCCTGAGTAGCTGGCATTACAGGTATGCACCACCATGCGTGGCTAATTTTTGTATTTTTAGTAGAGACGGGGTTTCACCATGTTGGTCAGGCTGGTCTCAAACTCCTGACCTCATGATCCGCCGCCTCAGCCTCCCAAAGTGCTGGAATTACAGACATGAGCCACTGCACCTGGCTACTCAGATTGTTAATTGTTAATGTATAGAAACACATTTGATCTTTGTATGCTGATTTTTTTTAAAATCCTGTAACTTTGATGAATTTGTTCATTATTTCTAATAGCTTTGTTTAGGTTTTCCTATTTATGAGACCACATCATCCATAAACAGATAATTTTACTTCTTCCTTTCCAATTTGGATGCCTTTTTTCTTTTTCTTGTCTAATTGCTCTGGCTCGGGCTTCCAGTCTATCTTGGAATAGAAGTGGCAAGAGTGGACATCCTCGCTTTTCCTTACCTGAGAGGAAAAGCTTTTAGTTTTTCACTGTTGAGTATGATGTTAGCTGTGTATTTTTTTTTTTTTTTTTTTGAGACAGAGTCTTGCTCTGTTGCCCAGGATGGAGTGCAGTGGTGCGATCTGGGCTCACCTAACCTCTGCCTCCCAGGTTCAAGTGATTCTCCTGCCTCAGCCTCCTTAGTAGTTGGGACTACAGGCACGCACCACCATGCCTGTCTAATTTTTTTGTATTTTCAGTAGAGACAGGGTTTCACTATGTTGGCCAGGCTGGTCTCAAACTCCTGACCTCATGGTCCACCCACCTCAGTCTCCCGAAGTTTCGGGATTAGAGATATGAGCCACTGCGCCTGGCCTAGCTGTGGATTTTTCGTATACAATCTTATGCTGAGGTAGTTATTTCCATACATACCCATAAAATAGCCTATTTTATTACAAATGAATTATATATAACCTTAAAATCTCTTCAATAATCATCCCTCTTCTCAGTCTTCTACCTTCTTTTGATGTAATAACGTGAAAATACATCATAACGTAACAAAGTGTATGTGGCTTTAGTTTTGTACAATAAAAATATATTTGAAAAAATTATTATCCTTTCCTTGTGTTACTTTATCAAATTGCATTATGTCCCCATTATACAAGTTTTCAGTAATTTTCCATCTTCTTCATTTGCACTTGAAGGTGTTGGAATGACATTAGGTGCACAACATAGATCTAGTTCATAGCTTATGTCTACAAACATACTAGTTTTGTACTTCTTACAGGTATGTAGTAGACATTTTTTTTTTTTTTTGGAGATGGAGTTTCACTCTTGTCGCTCAGGCTGGAGTTCAGTAGTGCCATCTCAGCTCACTGCAACCTCCACCTCCCGGGTTCAAGCAATTCTCATGCCTCAGCCTCCCAAGTAGCTAGGATTACAGGTGCCCGCCACCACGCCTGGCTAATTTTTGTATTTTTAGTAGAGATGGAGTTTCACCATGTTAGCCAGGCTGGTCTTAAACTCCTGATCTCAGGTGATCCACTCACCTTGGCCTCCCAAAGTGCTGGGATTACAGGTGTGAGCCACCGCACCTGGCCGTGTAGTAGACATTTTTAATGTTGTATCTGGGTACATATGTGTAAGAGTTTATACACGGAAGCACAAGTGCCAGCATATTCCAAACTCTCTTCATTACCAAAGTACACTCATCAGAAGCTATTGCTCCTAACATGAGCTGTACATTCATTAACCACCTAGGGGATTAACATATGTGTGTGTGCACGCATGCCCACATATTTATGACACAGAACTATCTGAAGAGAGTCTGATGTAATTCTTTTTTAGTTTTAAGTTGTTTCCTGAGATTATTGTGTTCCCGCAAGTGATTCTCAAGTTTATCCAGAGATGAGAACTCCAAGTATCACTAGTCATATTCTGATACTTGCAACACAAATGTGGAAAGAGTTCTCCAAGTTATGAAAACAAATCCGATGCTTGTCAGTTGACATATATTCATTTATATTTGTATAGGTTGAGAATCACTTATTTAAAATGGTTGGGGCCAAAAGTGTTTCAGATTTTGAATTTTTTTTTTCAGATTTTGGAGTATTTGCATTGTATTGGTTGAGCATTCCAAATCTGAAAATCCAAAATCTGAAATGCTCCAATGAGCATTTTCTTTGGGCATCATGTCAGTGTCCAAAAAGTTTGAAATTTTGGAGCATTTCAGATTTGGGATGTTCAACATGTGTCTATATGTACCTCTCTCTGTATAAATATATACTCTTTTTATGTATAGTTCTATGTAAATTATACCTGTATCTATATCTATGTTATATCTACATCTCCCCTGCCTACCTCCTCTCTATCCCTAACCTTCTCTACAAATCTACTTCTATCCTCTGAAGGGAGGTATCCAGGTTTGCATTTTCTGGACAAAAAAAGTGAATTTTAGCTTTTGAAACAAGAGGTAGGGACTAAGTTACTGGCAATTACAGGTGAGGATTAGTGTCCAGCCAGGGGAGAGAAAAATTCAGATATATCTGGCATCTCATATAAATTAGATGTCCCTTTTACAAATTGAGTCAACCAGATATCCTGTTCTTGAGGTAGTTTTAGGAAATTGTTGCATGTACAGCATTGGGTACCTTTATTTATTTATTTATTTATTTATTTATGACAGAATCTTGCTTTGTCTACCAGGCTGGAGTGCACTGGCGTGATCTCAGCTCACTGCAACCTCTGCCTCCTGAGTTCAAGCAATTTTCCTGCCTCATCCTCCCGAGTAGCTGGGACTACAGGTGCATGCCACTACGCCTGGCTAATTTTTTGTATTTTTAGTAGAGATGGGGTTTCACCGTGTTAGCTAGGATGGTCTTGATCTCCTGATCTCATGATCCACCTACCTCGGCCTACCAAAGTGTTGGGATTACAGGCGTGAGCCACCTCACCCGGCCTTTTTTTTTTTTTTTTTTTGAGATGGAGTTTTGCTCTTGTTGCCCAGGCTGGAGTGTAGTGGTGCTATCTAGGCTCACTGCAACCTCTGCCTCCCAGGTTCAAGCGATTCTCCTGCCTCAGCCTCCCAAGTAGCTGGGATTACAGGCGTGTACCACCACGCCTGGCTAATTTTTGTATTTTTAGTAGAGACGGGGTTTCACTACATTGGCCAGGCTGGTCACGAACTCCCAACCTCAGGTGATCTGCCTACCTCAACCTCTCAAAGTGCTGGGATTACAGGCATGAGCCACCATGCCCAGCCAGCATTGAACACCTTTAAGTCTTGTTATGTGGATGGTAGAATGTGAGTGAGAAGGTGGGTGAGGTCCTGGGTCCTGTTGGGTTTTTGTTCAAGGCTGAAGAGACTTGAAGAGGCTCCGTACCCAGACCTGGAGGTTCAAGGCATTTGTACTCTCCTGGGAGGCCCTGGCAGATCAGTAAGCCATTCTGCGGCTCCAGGATTCATCCTGCACTGAGTGGTTTTGTAGCAGGAGCGGAAAGGTGTCCCACAGTGAGCACCCGGTGGAGGTCAAAGTTCCTTCTGAGGCTTGGGATCTCCAGCGTCCTGCATCCCTTCCAGAAAGACCTCTGTACCCTCTCGGAAGACCCCCAGGCCCCCAAGCCTGCCCCATCTTTCTCTGAACTCGGGTCTGAGAAACATGAAAGGAAGAGTCAAGGAGAAGTTTGCCCTTCTTGCAGACCAGTCCTGGTCCAGTTTTTGTCAGTTTTGAAGAAGCACATGGTGACCATGTGGGGACTTTGCCTCTGGAACTGAAATCACTCTTTAGCCTCTGGAGGGGAAATTGTGGATTCAGTAAGTAGTGGCATAGTCATTTTTTTAAAAATTGGGATATAATTTGTATACTATAAAATTTGCCATTTTAAATGCTATATATTTAAATTACTATACAATTCAACATCTTTAAGTATATTCTAAAGGTTGTACAATCATTACCACTATCTAAACTCAGAACATATTCTTTACTCCAAAAATAAATCCTGTACCTATTAGCAGCCACTCCACATCCACATTCCTCTCCTTCCCTGGCAACAGCACTCAAGCCATCCTCCCTGGCTTTCTTTCATGTTCTGTAGAGACAAGGTCTTGCTATGTTGCCCAGACTGGTCTCGAACTCCTGGACTCAAGATATCCCTCTGCCTTGACCTCCCAAAGTGTGGGGATTACAGGCATGGGCTACTGTACCCGGCCTTGGACATTTCATATAAATGGAATGACACAATATGTGGCCTTTTGTTTTTGGCTTCATTCACTTAGCTTGCTATTTTCAATGGTCATCCATATTGTATTGTACTTTATTCCTTTTTAAAAATTTTTAATTATACTTTAAGTTCTGGGACACATGTGCAGGACCTGCAGGTTTGTTACATAGGTATACATGTGCCATGGTTGTTTGCTGCACCCATCAACCCGTCATCTGTATTAGGTATTTCTCCTGATGCTATCCCTCCCCATGTCAACCTCCCCCAATGTACTTTATTCCTTTTAATGTTCTTTTTGTTCATCCATTCCTCAGTTGATGAATATTTGGGTTATTTTCACCTTTTGGCTATTATGAATAATGCTACTATGAAGACTAGTGTACAAGCTTTTGTGTCATCATAGGTTTACAGTTTGCTTTTTTTTTTTTTTTTTTGAGACAGAGTCTTGCTCTATCTTGCCCAGGCTGGAGTGCAGTGATGTGATCTCGGCTCATTGCAGCCTCAGCCTCCCGGGTTCAAGCGATTCTCCTGCCTCAGCCTCCTGAGTAGCTGGGATTACAGGCGCCTGGCACAACACCTGGCTAATTTTGTATTTTTAATAGAAATGAGATTTCACCATGTTGGCCAGGCTGGTCTCGAACTCCTGACCTCAGGTGATCTGCCCGCCTCAGCCTCCCAAAGTGCTGGGATTACAGGCATGAGCCACCATGCCCAGCTTGTTTAGTTTTCTTAGGTATGTATCTACTAGGGGAAGTGCTGGGTTATACGGTAACTTTATATTTAACCTTTTTGAGGAACTCAAAATTGTTTTCCACCTTCAGCTTCACCATTCTATATTCTCACCAGAGATGTATAAGCACTTCAGTTTCTTTATATCCTTGCCAACACATTGTTTTAAAAAAAACTTATAGTCACTCTAGTGAGTGGTGCCATGGTGTCATTTGTGGGTTTTTTTTTTTTTGTTTTTTTTTTGAGATGGGGTCTTGCTGTGTTAGCCAGGTTAGTCTTGAACTCCTGACCTCAAGCAATCCTCCTGCCTCGGCTAGGAATACAAGTGTGAGCCACTGTGCCAGGCCTCATTTTGTGGTTTTGGTGTGCATTTTCTTAGTGTTTAATGATGTTGACTATCTTTTAATGTGCTTATTGGCTTTTGTGTTTCTTATTTCCAGAAAAAATTTTCATTTTGACCATTTTAATTTAATTAATTAATTAATTTAGACAGAGTCTCGCTCTGTTGCCCAGGCTGGAGTGCAGTGACACAAACTCGGCTCACTGCAACCTCCACCTCCTGGTTCAAATGACTCTCATGTCTTGGCCTCCCAAATAGCTGGGATTACAGGCATGTGCCACCATGCCCAGCTAATTTTTGTATTTTTTTAGTAGAGACAGGGTTTCACCATGTTGGCCAGGCTGGTCTCAAACTCCTGACCTCAAGTGATCCACCCACCTCAGCCTCCCAAAATGCTGGGATTACACACGCATGAGCCACTGGGTCTGGCCTGTCATTTTGCCCATTTTTAAATTGCGCTGTTTGTGTTTTCATTGTTGAGTTTTAACCATTCTTTGTATATTCTGCATATTAAATCCATAACAGATAAATGATTTATCAATATTTTCTCCCGTACCATGTGATGACTTTTAACTTTCTTGACAGTGTTCTTTGATGCACAATAGTTTTTAATTCTGATGAAGCCAATTTATCTAGTTTTTGTTTCGTTACTTCTGCTTTAGGTATCATGTCTAAGAAACTGTTGCCTAATCTAAGGTCAGGTAAGCTTACTTCTGATGGTTTCATAGTTTTGACTTGTATGCTTAGGCCTTCCTTCCCTTTTGAATTAATTTTTGTATGTAACTTGAGATAGATATTCAACTTCATTCTTTTCCTTGTGGATAGCCAGTTGTTCTAATACCTTTTCTTGTAAAGACTATACTTTTCCCATTGAATTTGTCTTGGCATTGGTGTTGAACTCAATGGATCATAGATGTATGGGTTTATTTCTGGACTCTAAATTCTATTCAGCTGATTTATAAGTTTTGTCTTATGTCAGTACCACACTTTCTTTCTTTCTTTCTTTTTTTTTTTTTTTTTTTTTTTGAGACAGAGTCTCGCTGTGTCACCCAAGCTGGAGTGCAGTGGCACAATCTTGGCTCACTGCAACCTCCACCTCCCGGGTTCAAGCCATTCTCCTGCCTCAGCCTCCTGCATACCTGGGACTACAGGCCCCTGCCACCACACCTGGCTAATTTTTTGTATTTTTTTTAGTAGAGACGGGGTTTCACTGTGTTAGCGAGGATGGTCTCGATCTCCTGACCTCGTGATCTGCCCGCCTCGGCCTCCCAAAGTGCTGGGATTAGAAGCGTGAGCCATGCGCCCAGCCCACACTTTCTTGATTGTTATATCTTTGTAGTAAGTTTTGAATTTGGGAAGCGTAAGTCCTCCAATATTGTACTTCTTTTTCGAGATTAATTTGGCTATTCTGGGTCCATTGCATTTCTAAATGAATCTTAGGTTCAGCTTGTAAATTTCTGCAAAAAGGCTGTTGAAATTTTGATAGGAAGTGAATTGAATCTGTTGATCTCTTTTGGGAGTATTAGTTGATCTCTTTTTGGGAGTTTAAGTCTTCCAATCCATAAACATGGGATATTTCTCCATTTATTTAGATCTTTTATATTTTCTTTTAATAACATTTTGAAGTTTTCAGTGTGCATATGTTGAATCTTTTTGTTAAATATATTTCTAAGTATTTTATTCTTTTTGATGATATTGTGTATAGGTTTATTTTATTTTCATTTTTGAATTGTTCATTGCCAGTATACAGAAATAAAACTGATTGTTTATTTCTTTTTTTAAAATAGAGACAGGGTTTCACCATGTTGCCCAGGCTGGTCTCAAACTCCTGGACTCAAGCAATCTGCCCACCCGGGCCTCCCAAAATGCTGGGATTACAGGAGTCAGCTGCCACACCTGGCCTGATTTTTAAAATTTTTGATCTTGCATTCTACAACCTCATTTACTTGCTATAACAGTCTTTAGATTCCTTTGGATTTTCTCTATGAGAGGTCATGTCATCTGAAAATTTTCACTTTTTCCTTTCCAATATAACACCTTTACTTTCATATTCTTGCCCAATTGCAGTTAGCAATTTTGCTTCTCTTACATCAGCTAGGTTCTGGTAAAATCCCTGTTGGGAAGGCTCTGGTGAAATAGGTTCTTTCGAGGGCATCCCTTAAGAAGAAGAGAATGCTCTGAGCATATTTCATAATGTCTACTTTTCCTCTCATCCTACATAAAGCACAAGGAGAATTTTCTCTGATCTTTACTTTGAGAACCTGGTAGGACTCTTGGGACTAAAGCCAACAAAGGCTGGACTATCCTGGCATTTTTAACTCTCAAGCCTGGCCATACTGTGCTTCCAGCAACTCTTGATTGCAGTGCAGCTTTTCCTATTCTGCCAATGGTTTCTGCTAGTCAGTTTCTGCTCCTTGTTTTGATTCTCTGCATCTTCCTGTCTGTCTTCAATTTAAAGGGCAGCAGTTTGCCTGTGACCTCACTTCTCTCATAAATCTAGGAAGAGTTATTGATTTTCAGTTTAACTGGTTTTTTTTTTATGTTTTGTGGATGGGAGTGATGACCTCCAAGCATCTTACATGCCAGATCAGAAACTGGAAATCCAATAAATATATTATGGCAACATTTAAAAAACTAAAAATTTGTGCAAAAATTCACGATGAACAAGATATCGAAGTTTTAAATAATATCAGGATCTAACTCTAACTTGCACAAGTGAAGCCACTTCACTGGTAAATCATATCCTGGCACTGTTTTTCATAAAACTTTATTTATAAACAACAAATATCCATTGTGTTGGCTATAGTTTGTCAATTTCATTCTTTATAAACTGTTAGATTAAAATACTTTTTATCTTCATTACTGGGTCTCTTTCTGCATTCCAGGTGAGTTTTCACTTGCCTTACCTAGTTCTGGACCTTCCCTCTGATTCCATTTCATACAAAAGTCAGCCCTACAATGGCTTCATGGCCCTTTATTTTTATTTATTTATTTTATTTTTATTATTATTTTTGAGATGAAGTCTTGCTCTGTTGCCCAGGCTGGAGTGCAGTGACGCTATCTCAGCTCACTGCAACTCTGTTCCCGGGTTCGAGTGATTCTCCTGCCTCAGCCTCCCCAGTAGCTGGGATTACAGGCACGTGCCAGTAGGCCAAGCTAATTTTTGTATTTTTAGTAGAGATGGCTTTTTGCCATGTCAGTCAGGCTGAGGTTGAACTCCCGACCTCAGGTGATCCACCACCTCGGCCTCCCAAGGTGCTGGGATTTCAGGCATGAGCCACCATGCTTGGCCCCATGGCCCTTCATGATTTGACCTCCATCTACTCTGTAACCTCGCTTCCTCCTTCCCTGCATGCACTCGCTCTACTCCACTCATAGTCTCTGCCTTGCTATTTCTATTTCTGGGGCATGCCTATCTTGCTCAGGGCTTTTACGTCAGTGCTTGACACTTTGGGCCTGATCCATACCTATTCATTCTAATTAATCCAGTCAACAAATATTCATTGTGTGCTTACTTTTGTAAGGCATTATTTTAGGCTCTGAGACAATATCAGTAAACAAGATAGACAAAATCCAACAATCTCTGGAGCTTTCAATTTAGTGTGTTTGGGAAGGGGTGAGAGGGTCAGAAAGTAATCATAAGTGAAATAGAAATTATTACTGAGAAAATATAGCATTGTGAAAAAAGGAAATAAAATAAGGGGGATTAGGAATTTTTGGAGAATTGCAGCTTTAAATAGGTAGATGAAAGTAAGCCTATCTGAAAAGGCCACCTGGCAAAGGCTGAGAGGGGGATGAAGGAGTGATTCAAGGGATATGGGGATCATGAGAGGTCAGGAAGCTTTGCAGGCAGAGGTTGGAATGCCTTGAGGTGAGAGGGAGCCTGAGATGTTTAAGAAAAAGCAAGGAGGCCAATACCACTAGATGGTGCCTATGTGAGGCGGAGGGGTGGACAGTAGAAAATGATGTCAGAGAGGAAAGGCAGGAGGAGTACAGGTTAGATAAGACATGTAGGCTATTGAAAATAAACTTTATTGAAATATAGTGCACATACCCAAAAGACCATGTATCATACATAGTCAGTTTAATAAATTGTCACAAAACAACCAAACTCATGGAACAAACATTCAGATAAAGAAAGATAATATTACCTGACTTCAGGAGCCTACTTTTGGTTCCCTTTAAGGCACTGATACCCTTCCCCCAGTAGCTCATATCCTTACTTTTAACCACAGCATAGCTGGGCATGGTGGCTCACGCCTGTAATCCCAGCACTTTGGGAGGCCGAGGCGGGTGGATCACTTGAGGTCAGGAGTTCAAGACCAGGCTGGCCAACATGGTAAAACCCAGTCTCTACTAAAAACACACAAAAAATTTAGCTGTGCATGGCAGCACATGCCTGTAATCCCAGCTACTGGGGAAGCTGAGGCAGGAGAATCGCTTAAACTCGGGAGGCGGAGGTTGCAGTGAGCCGAGATTGTGCCACTGCACTCCAGCCTGGGTGACAGAGTAAGACTCCATCTCAAAATAAAATAAAATAAATTAACCACAGCAAAGATTAGTTTTGTCTGTTTTATATAAAATATTAATGGAATTATACAGTATTCTCATTTATTTACTCCTAATTTTAAAGATAAATTCTGTAATCCAGGGCTTGGCAAACTTTCCCTACAAACAACAAAAAGTAAACATTTTGGGCATTGGGCAAAGTGGAGTTTCAAGTACTCAGCTCTGTCATTTCGGCTTAAAAGCAGCCATAGACAATAGGTAAATAAATGGGTGTGGCTAGTGTCCCAAGAAAATTATTTATAAAAACTGAAACTGGCTGGATAGGGCCCATTTGTAATAGTTTGCCAACCCCTGCTTCCATTTGTAATATTATTATTGTGAATGGCTGTGAGGCCCTAATTCTACACTATAAACAGGTAGTCAGTTGTACCAACATTGTTGTGATTAATCATTTTCTCTCTGAATACTACCAGTACTCTTTTTTTCTTTTCTTTTTTTTAAATAGAAATGGAGTCTCACTATATTGCCCAGACTGGTCTCGAAATCCTGGCCTCAGGTGACTTTCCTGCCTCAGCTGGGATTACAGGTACTAGGATTACAAGTGTGAGCCACAGTCTTCAATGCTTATCTATCTCCATCTTTCTATTAGGTTCCATTGCTGAAGAGGATGGCGTTATAAAGTAAGGGGAACAGAAAATAAGAGGAAAAACAAAACACAAAGATAAATTTCCTGAGGAAGAATTGTGCAGACTTAATGAGAAATATGCACAGCACCCTTACCCTAATTTTACGACCAGAGAACTGGTCAAACAACTGCATTGTCATGTGTGTGTAAGTCATGTAAGTTTAGAGGTTTTTGTTTTTGTTTTTTTTTTTTTTTTGAGACAGAGTCTCCCTGTGTTGCACAGGCTGGAATGCAGTGGGGCGATCTCGGCTTACTGCAACCTCTGCCTCCCAGATTCAAGCAATTCTCCTGCCTCAGCCTCCCAAGTAGCTGGGACTACAGACGCATGCCACCACGCCCGGCTAATTTTTTGTGTTTTAGTAGAGATAGGGTTTCACCGTGTTGCCTAGGCTGGTCTCGAACTCCTCAGCTCAGGCAATCTACCTGCCTCAGCCTCCCAAAGTGCTGGGATTACAGGTGTGAGCCACCACGCCTGGCAAATTTAGAGCTTTGTAAATTTCCTGGAAAATATAGATGAGGCTGGGCGCAGTGGCTCACACATGTAATCCCAGCACTTTGGGAGGCCAAGATGGGTGGATAACCTGAGGTCAGGAGCTCGAAACCATCCTTGCCAGCACGATGAAACCTTGTCTGTACTAAAAATATAAAATTTAACTGGGCATGGTGGCATATGCCTGTAATCCCAGGTACTCAGGAGGCTGAGGCAGGATAATCGCTGGAACCCGGGAGGCAGATGTTGCAGTGAGCCAAGATCACACCACTGAACTCCAGACTGGGTGACACAGCGAGACTCCATCTCAAAAAAAAAAGAAAAGAAAAGAAAAAAGAAAAAATATAGATGGATGTAGGTACTAGTTTTTTTTTTAATAGAGAGGCAAATAATTGAATGATATCAAAGAGAAAAGAGTGGTAGTCAACCAAAATAAAAAGTATGAAATTTCTCACATAATAAAAGTATCATAATATTTGCATTTTTACAGATAATATAAAAAATGAAAAGAATTATGAAGCAGTGTAATAGCATTAATCACCTGGTAAAATGGTATTGATATTTTGCCACATTTCTTGTTTATCTATATGTGATACCAATGTGTGTTGGGAAAACATGAGTAGAGTGAGGCTAATTTGTAGGGTGATGGTATCTTGGGATAGAGAGGGTGCTGGCTGTGCAGATGGAGAGAACTAGTAAGACTGAGTACATTTTGGAGACAGAGTGGGTGGTGTTTATGCTGTATTGGTTATGCAGTGAAAGAAAAGGTAAAGTCAAAGATGACTCCAGAGGGGACTCAAAGCTTCAACGTTTTGAGTAAATGGAAAACGGGAATTGCCTTTTAGTAGAGGAGAAATCTAGGAGTGGAGTAGATTTGTGTCAGAGGGATTGAAGTTGCACTGTAGACACACAGAGTTTTATTTGCTGGGTAAAATCCAAGTGGAGATATTAAGCGGATATTTGAGTATGCAAGTTTGAAAATCAAGGGTGAGGAGTGACAGGTCCAAATGTGGTAGTTGTCAGTTTGTTGGTGGTGTCCCCATTACCTGGCACAGCCCCTGGTGGCATGGTAGTTCCTTTCTAATGATTTGCTGCACAAACCAACATTTTGGGAACTTTTTCTGATACCACAGAATCAGTTAAAAAACAAAAACTCATTGTGTTAGATTTATGCTATTTATAAACAGTATTGCAAATATTTCCCCTGCTCTTTCTGCTCTGTAATTCCTCAAAGATCATTGTAGTTGTTGGTTGGTTGAAAACTGGAAGAATTTAATCATTAATGTAATCTAGAAAGGGGATTTAAGATCAAGTTTGGGAGGAAAAATATGTAGACAAATATAAGTAACTCTGTTACTAAGTTATAAAATGAATAGAACTATTTCTGGGAAAATCCAAATGATCAATGATTTCTTAAAAAGTAGAAGGAAAGGAGGGGTCAAGATGGCAGACCAGAAGCAGCTCATATGTGCCTCTCTCATGGAGAGGAAACAAAAGTGCTAGTGAATACTGACCCTACAAGCTGAACATTGAACAAACCACATTGGGATCCACCAAGGCAGCAAGGGGACGAAGAGGGCAGAGAGGACTGAAGCTGGGCAGCTGCCATCTGGGATCAATGTAGAACCAGGAGAAGCTCTCCAGCACTGGAAAGAGTGAGTGAGAGCACCCCAGGGAATTCACACCCTCCAGAGGGCCCCATGCAAGCCTGGGAATGGGAGAATCCCTCTGGTACTTCCCCCCTGCATATGCTCCCTAACCTTGATTCTAAACTGTGGCAGACAGCTAGCCACCTGGAGTTTTTGTAAAGGCAACTCTCAAGTTCATGGGAACCTCTATAAACTTTGGACCCCAGAACAAACCAGCACCAATGTCACAGCCCCAGTAGAGGCTGCAGATGTGGAGCCTGGGAGCAGTAAGATGACTCCACCCTGCCTTGCCAGACAAGGCTTGGCACCAGCTTCAGCAGTCTTGCTTCTGACTGAACTGAGCCAGCAGCTGCAGCCTCCCGTTGCCCCAGGAGAAACCCTGATGGCAGGGTGCACAACTCCACCCACCCCTGTTGCTGATAACCAGGCAGGCAATGCCTGTTAGAGTTTCCAGCCCAGTGGTCCCACTTCTGAGCTCAGCTGACAGGTACAGTCTCCTGTTGTCCTGGGAAACACCTGGACAGCAAGGTGGACAACTCTACCCACCCCCACTGCTTGTAGCCAGATGGCCATACCTGCTTCTGCCTGAATTTTGCCAGTGAGTGCAGCCTCCTGTTGTCTCAGGAAATATACTGATGGCAGGACTCCACCCACCCCTGCCCTCTTATCTCCAGGCAGGTCACACCTGCTAGAGCTTCCAGCCCAGCAGTTCTGCTTCTGGAATTCTCTCAGTGATCCAAAAGCCTTCACTTTTGGATCACTGAGAGAGGTGAGATGCCTGGGTTCTCAGGCTGATGGAGTGGGCTGTGCCTCCTTCTGCAGGGCTGACTTTGGCAAAGATATGGCCTCCACTTGGATTTTACCCAGCAAATAAAACTCTGTGTGTCTACAATGAGACTTCAATCCCTCTGACACAAATCTACTCCTCTCCTAGATTTCTCCAATTGTGGCTCCTACTTGAGGGAGCCTCATGGACCAGACACCCAACAAAAGAAACACTGGCACGAGGTCAGTATCAGAGGGGCACGTCCAAGGCCCAGTAGCAGACTAGGTGAGGGAGTCATCTCTCTCCCCTATCACCATAGAGCAATACTGTTAAATGTGCCAAAACACAAAAGAGCCATGCAACAGAGCAACAGCCTATCTGCTGGCTAACACTCTTAAGTTTTACCTACCGGATTGTGGCCCAAAATGCAACACCAAAATATTTTGCCAGTTATAGCATCCGTGAAAAATAAGGCAAAGACTAGGGCCAGCACCCTGCTACAGCCGATGCATGTGAGCCCAGCTGTGCTGCTGCAGCTGCTGGTGCACACGAGTGAGCATGGACCCTGCTGACACTGCCCCAGTGGAACGCCTTGGCCAGCAACCCCCAATGGAGTGTTGTGGCCAGCAGACTGGAAACACCTTGGCCCATCCAGTGCCAGAGGTTACTAATCTCAATGGGCCAGAGACAAAGTCAGGGACCTGGTACCAGTCCCCCAGAACTAGAGTGCACAGCCCAGGAGTGCTGAGCTGAGTCTTGGTCCTCTGAAATCTTCTAGAATTGAATCCAGTTGACTGAACCCATCTTATACCACAATCAAACCCCTAAAGGCCTCAAAGAAGATAAAGGAAAGGACAGCAACATTAAAGATTAAAGGGACTTGAGCCCACACAGATTAAAAAGAACCAGCACAGCCGGGCATGGTGGCTCACGCCTGTAATCCCAACACTCTGGGAGGCTGAAGCGGGTGGATCACCTGAGGTTGGGAGTTCGAGACCAGCCTGCCCAACATGGAGAAACTCCATCTCTACTAAAAATATAAAATTAGCCAGGCATGGTGGCACATGCCTGTAATCCCAGCTACTCAGGAGGCTGAGGCAGGAGAATCGCTTGAACCCAGGAGGTGGAGGTTGTGGTGAGCTGAGACGGCACCATTGCACTCTGGCAACTCAAAAAGCCAGAGTGTCTTTTAACTTCCAAATGATCACACTAGTGCCCTAACGATGGTCCTTAAATAGTCTGAAATGACTGGAATGTCAAACATACATTCCAGAATATAGATAGGAATGAAGATACTTGAGATCCAGGAGAAAGTTAAAACCTAATCCAAGGAATCTAAGGAACACAACAAAATGATAGAGGAGCCAAAAGACAAAATAGTCATTTTAAAGAAAGAATCAAACTGATATGATAGAACTGGAAAGCTTACTACAAGAATTTCGTAATACAATTGCACGTATTAACAGCAGAAAAGACCAAATGGGGAAAGAATCTCAGAGCTTAAAGATTGGTACTCCAAATTATCTCAATCAGACAAAACAAGAAAAAAAGAATAAAAAAAGATGAACAGCTGGGCGCGGTGGCTCACGCCTGTAATCCAGCACTTTGGGAAGCTGAGACTGGCAAATCACGAGGTTGGGAGTTCGAGACCAGCCTGACCAACATGGAGAAACGCCATCTCTACCTAAAAATATAAAATTAGCCAGGTGTGGTGGTGCATGCCTGTAATCCCAGCTACTCAGGAGGCTGAGGCAGGAGAATTGCTTGAACCTGGGAGACAGAGGTTGCAGTGAGCCGAGATCACACCACTGCACTCTAGCCTAGGCGACAGAACGAGACTCCATCTCACAAAAAAAAAAAAAAAAAAAAAAAGAACAAAACCTTAGAGAAATTTAGGATTATTTACTTTTTACTTTATATATATTTTAAAGACAAGGTCTCACTGTCACCCAGACTGGAGTGCAGTGGTGTTATCTCAGCTCACTGCAACCTCCACCTCCCAGGCTCAAGCAATTCTCCTGCCTTAGCCTCCCGAGTAGCTGGGATTACAGGCATGCACCACCACGCCTGGCTAATTTTTGCATTTTTAGTAGAGACTGGGTTTCACCATGTTGGTCAGGCTGGTCTCAAACTCCTGACCTTGTGATTTGCCCGTCTTGGCCTCCCAAAGTGCTGGATTACAGGCGTGAGCCACCGTGCCTAGTTGTTCATTCTTTTTTATTCTTTTTTCTTGTTTTGTCTGATTGAGATAATTTGGAGTCTTTAAGCTCTGAGATTCTTTCCCTACTTGGTCTTTTCTGCTGTTAATACTTGCCTCCCAAAGTGCTGGGATTACAGGCGTGAGCCACTGCACCCAGCTGAAATATAGGATTATTTAAAGAGACCAAATTTATGACTCATTGGCATTTCTGAAATAGAGGGAGAGAAAGCAAGCAACTTGGAAAACATATTTGAGGGTATTGTCCATGAAAATTTCCCCAAGTTTGCTAGAGAGGCCAAACATTCAAATTCAGAAAATGCAGAGAACCTCTGCAAGGTACTGTCCAAGACAACCATCCCCAAGACACGTAGTCATCAGATTCTGCAAGGTTGATGTGAAAGAAAAAAATATTAAAGGCAGCTAGAGAGAAGGGGCAGGTCACCTACAAAGGGAACCTCATCAGGACAACAGCAGGCTTTTCAGCAGAAATCCTACAAGCCAAAGAGATTGGAGGTCTATATTCAGCATTCTTAAAGAAAAGAAACTAAAACCAAGAATTTCATATCTGCCCAAACTATGCTTTATAAGCGAAGGAGAAATAAGTTCATTTTCAGAAAAGCAAATACTAAGGAAATTTGTGATCAATAGACCTGCCCTACAAGAGGTTCTTAAGGGAGTGCTAAATATGGAAATAAAGACCATTATGGGCTGCCACAAAAACACACTGAAGTACATAGACCATTGTCATTGTAAAGCAACTACAGAATCAAGTCGGCATAATAACCAGCTAACAAAACAGTGACAGGATCAAATCTACATGTATCAATATTAACATTGAATATAAATTGGCTAAATGCTCCAATTAAAAGGTACACAGTTGCAAGTTGGATAAGAAAGCAAGACCCAACTGTATTCTGTCTTCAAGAGGCCCATCTCACATGCAGTGACCCCCATAGGCTCACAGTAAAGGAGTGGAGAAAAATTGACCAAGCAAATGAAAAACAAAAAAACAACATGGGTTGCTATTCTAATTTCAGACAACAGACTTTAAACCAACGGTACTCAAAAAAGACAAAGAAGGGCATTACATAAAGTGTTCAACTCAACAAGAAGACTTAACTATCCTAACTATATGTGCACCCAACACAGGAGCACCCAGATTCATAATACAAATTCTTAGAGACCTATGAAGAGACTTAGATAACCACATGATAATAGTGAGAGACTTTAACACCCCACAGACAATATTAGACAGATCATTGAGATAGAAAATTAACAAAGATATTTGAGACCTGAACTCAACACTCGACCAAATGGACCTAACAGACATCCACAGAACTCTCTAACCCAAAACAACAGAATGCACATTCTTCTCATCAGCACATAGTCCATACTCCACACAATACAGCATAAATCCATTCTCAGAAAATTAAATTTAAAAAATGGAAATCATTCCAACCATACTCTCAGACCACAGTGAAATAAAAATAGAAAGCAATACTAAGAAGATTGCTCGAAACCATACAATTACATGGAAATTAAACAACTTGCTCCTGAATGACTTCTGGGTAAACAATGAAAGTAGGGCAGAAATCAAGAAATTATTTGAAAGTAATGAGAACAAAGATACAACATACTAGAATCTCTGGGACACAGTTAAAGCAGTATTTTTATTTTTCAAGGCAGGGTCTCCCTCTGTCACTCAGGAGTACAGTGGTGTGATCATAGCTCATTGCAGCCTCAACCTCCTCAGCTCAAGTAATCCTCCTGAGTAGCTGGGACTACAGGCACGTGCCACCATGCCTGGCTAATATATTTTTTTTCTTTTGTAGAGACAAGTTCTCACTGTGTTGTCCAGGCTAGTTTTGAACTCCTGAACTCAAGTGATCCTCCCACTTCAGCCTCCGAAAGTGCTGGGGTTACAAACATCAACCACCATACTCAGCCTTAAAGCAGTAATAAGAGGAAAGTTTATAGTGCTAAATGCCCACAACAAAAAATTAAAAAGATCTCAAATTAACCGCCTAATATTACACCTAGAGAAACTAGAAAAACAAGAACAAACAAACCCCATAGCTAGCAGAAAACAAGAAATAACCAAAATCAGAGCTGAACTGAACTGTTCTTTCCTCAATGTATGTTCACGGCACTTTTGTTGAAAATGAGTTCACTATGGATGCATGGATTTATGTTTGCATTCTCTATTTTGTTCCATTGGTTTATATGTGTATTTTTG